>NC_000001.11:209093677-209245193 GCF_000001405.40 Homo sapiens | reverse complement strand
TTGTAAACTTGTTGAACATCTATCCATGTTAGCCTACTTGGAGGAGCCTCACACTGGTTATCTGATGTGGACGGCTCTGTAGTATGAATAACCACTTATTTAACCATTACCTCTTTTATGGGCATTAGGTTATTCCAGTGTCTAGGTGTGCAAACTCTGTTTCATGAAACAATCCAGGAATCCTTCTTTTTGTCTGTGTGTGGATTGCATTTGTTGATTCTGTTTTCTTCTCAGGATCATATAGTAAGTTAGAACTAAGCCAATATTTATTGAGCAATTCTCATGTAGCAGGCACTGAGGCATTTTTACCACAAACCTTGAGTTAGAGAGACACATTTCCCATTCTATAGATGAGAAAACTGAGGCTTCAAGAGACAAAGTGAGTCAGGTTTTGCAAACACATTAAAGTTAGGTTGCTCCTAACAGTCACTTGTGCTGGGTTCTTCCCCAGAACTCCCCACTGTGAGTCTCACGACAGGGGAAACCACATGCCATACCTCTTTTTATACTCTAATATGTCCTGGCTACACAATAAATCTCAATAAAACTTGATTGATTATTTGGGAGACAAATTAGCACTATCGTATTAACTAGCAGGATATTTTATTTAGGTATTTTAGCAACAATAAGAAGACACTAGCATCACTGAGTAGCTGGTTAAAATATTATTAGAAGTTAATTCATATTTTAGCAGATAATTCCTAATTAATTTGCTGTAGTTATCTTGTTAAATGTCAATTAAATCTCTCCACATCCCTTACAGGTTTCTGCTATTCATAAAATGTAATTATGCAGCTATTGCTCATGTACTCTTTATTGCTTATACAATCTACCAGTTAAATACAAGTCAAAAAGATTTATCTTCCGGGTTCTTAATAACATCACTAAATGTTCTAATTAATAATCAATAACCTGTTTGCATAATTAATTAAAGAAAGAATCCTAATGAGATGGTGCCTTGTAGCTAGCCACACTGAGCCTGGAACTTTTATCTCCTATAGCAATCCTAGCTCAGAGTGGAAGAGTTTATTTGAACAACTCTTTCCTTTTGGGCACAGAGAAGCGCTGGGCTTAGCACTAGTAATGGGAACTCAGATGATTCTGCTGGGAAATCCTTATGTACATTGTTTCTTAACAATGTGTAATATAAGTATCTCCATGGAATGTAACCTATTTGTTGGATATGAATTTTCGCTAATACAGGTTCAAGTGAACAAAAATAAGTTTCTTCATCTTCTTAAAAGCCAATTATCTGAACCTAAGCCCTCATTCCACCTGACGCAGAAACTTAATCTAGTCACTTTTGAGTAAATTTACTCCTATGTAGTATCTTCTCAGGAAAATGGGGTTAGGATTCAGTTACACTATAGATTTGAAAAAATTCTCCCTTTCAGTTTGTTCCCTCCCCACCTCCTCAGCACAGAGTTTTAGCTGGAGAGGAGGTGGTTTTGCAATGGTCCCCCACCATGGTGTCATCTGGACAGGAGCTGCCCATTTCCCAGGGTCCACCTGTCTTGATCCTTTGGGATGTAACATGAATGTTTGGTCTTTGAGGGAGCCCCTTTCAAACTGCCCCACCACAAGGTGTTTGGTCATCCCAATCCTTTAGGAGCTGCATTCTCTGAAGTATTTGTGGTTTTGCTGTAGCCTCCACCATCCAGGCTCATAGGGTTACTCTTCATTTTCCTTGTTTGGACTCTCAGGTTCCTGTGCATCCATCACCCCTTCCTCATCCTTCTTGCAAGCTTGAAGATCACATGGTTCTGAGTCTTTCTGAGACCCTGGAAAGACGAAGGGGGCACTCAGGGGTCCTCACTGCCCCAGCATATCCTTGCAATCTTTCTGCTTTGTTGTTCACATGCCCAAAGGCACCAAGGTCCCTGGAAGGAATGTTAAAGACTGAATCTCTCTGCATCTCTCTCTCTCTATGCTGAAGACATAGGTCTCTCTCTGACCCCAGAAAAACAGTGATTCTTGTTCTACTCCCTTCTTTCAAATTATCTGGGGGTAGTGGGAGCAAGACACAAAGAAGAATCCACATCTCTGCTTCCTGGATTCCCCTCTGACTCTTTCCTCTCTCTTTTACATGTGGAGAAAACAGTTGGGGCAGAGATGTTTCTACTTAGAGTAATTCCTTTTCTTATATTTTCTGTCTTACATCAGAAATCTCAAACACTTTATTTCAGAAGCTGACAATGTGACATCTTTGTTCTCTAGCTCTGGGGTTGAAGGTGGCCCCTTGTCAACAGCTGGAGCAAGGATGGACACAAGGAGGTAAAAAAAAATTGTGGCTGGGCACAGTGGCTCACACTTGTAATCCTAACACTTGGAGAAGCTGAGGCAAAAGGATTGTTTGAGCCCAGGAGTTCGAGACCAGCCTGGGCAACATAGGGAGACCCTGTTTTTACACACATACACACACACACACACACACACACACGCCAGGCCTGATGTCGCACACCTGTGGTCCCAGCTACTCAGGAGGCTGAGGTGGGAGGATCACTTGATCCCAGGAGGTAAAGGTTGCAGTGAGCCATGATCACACCACTGCACTCCAGCCTGGGCAACAGAGTGAGATCCTGTCTCAAAAAAAAAATTGTGTGCCAGGTAACATCTCAAACTGTTACTCTATCACACCATTATCACGTCAGAACCAAGGCTGCTGATGCTGAAATATCTGAAGCCATCCAGTGTTCATTTCAAAGAGGACCAACCCAAATCAATGACACAGAGGCAGAGAGGCAAGCATGGAACCTGAGGGTTGCACAAAGTGGGATTCATCCAGCTTTGGAGTCAGTTTTTCTTGCCTAAATTCAAGAGGATGGATGAGTTGACCCCTCAAAGGGACTTTCTGTTTCCAGCAAGTTTCTCTTAAAGCAGAGAAAAAGTGCTTTTCTGATTTATTTTTTTTTTTTATTCCAACTCTTCTGGTTTTACTTAAAACATAAGTCTATATGCTTGGGGCTGAGGGCTGCACATTCTCAAGCGTTCTCAAAGAGCAAAAAAAAAAGGAAAAGGATTTAAAATAAAATCCCATCATTGTTCATTGAACAACAAATTGCAACTAGTGAAAAGAAATAATATTTTGAATATATTTTTTTCAAAAGAATAATATTTTGGAAGAAGAAAACTGCTGAGCACATCCTGAGTCTCTTAATGGAGTTGCTTCTGTTCAGACAACAGTGGCAGAACAGCCACACATCAGATCAACCAGACATATTATCACCCCCTGTAAAGGCGATTGCTTGTCATCTTTTATGAAGCATCTGCCCCTTTTTGTTGTCAACAGTGAGGAGCCTTACCCCTTCTTTCCTGCTTATTCTTCCTCCTGGATCTTATCACGGGGGAACTGCTTCTCCACAACGACCCTTCTCACAGACAAGAGCTGCTGCCTCTGTCCAGGATAATAGAAATAAGACGAAACAGGATGAGTCTATTTCGCAAATCTTGGAAAGGATTGCCAATCAGCTCAGCACCAGCACACTGGATAGCAGCATGGGAAGCTCCCCTGAAGATCATCTTGTCCATCTTCTGTCTTGTGCAAGATGCTCTTCTAGAGATCCCTCCCTCACCTCGAAAGTCTCCAGGGAAGGACACTCCTCAGCTTCCTGCTATTGGCCATGACAATGTCTCATATTTGGAATGCTTTATATCTAATTGAAATCTTTTCTGCCATATTTTACTTTCCTTCTTCCTCACAAAGCTCGCCCCCATAAAACAATTACAAAATAGGTAGAGGTTGGTTTTAGTGCCTTCTCTTCTCTCCCCACCGCCACCCTTTAATACATCCTCTGCTCTTTCCATTTTCCAAGGCTTTCTGTGTCTTAGTTGTCACAAAGGAAAGTAGATGGGTATTTTTTTTTTGACATTGGTCCTTTGCAAGATAAGCCCTGCAAGAAGCGAGCAATGCTTAATACAAAATGCTGAATTATTAATGATGACATTTCAGGAAACTCTAAAATGGAGATTGGGGTTAGGGTGAACTTTGCCCACATCCCTCAAGTAATGTAATGCATGTAATATTAACCATGAATATTGAGTCAAGGCAGCCAGCCTAAACTTTGGGAGACCTGTATCCAGCTCCTCTTAATAGCTGTGCCACTTTCATTAATTTATTAAACCTCCTGGAGTCTCATTTTTCCTATTGGCAAAATGGGAGTAATTGGCCTACTTCACAGGCTGTTGTGAGGATTACAAGAGATGATGTAGATAATGTACATTCCACAATGCCTGCCAGTTATATTGTCCTTAATACAAACTGGCTGTCATTATTATTATTGTTGTTATCCACGGTTACTTTTTATGAATGCAATCCAAAGATTTTCAGCCAAGCCAGTGGAATACTAAAAAGTTTGAGTGGGGAGCAGTTGCTCTTTCTACTGATATACTTGATAAATATTACTATATGACTAACAAATATCTTTCTCTCTCCCCAGGATAACATAGGCAGGTAGTGAAGAAAGAGAGGCACAGAAGGGGCTCCCTAGAGCACAGTAGGAGTGGGTAGGCAGTGAGTAGGAGTGAGGATGGCTGTCCTTGTCCTCTGTCTGCCCTAAACATTTCTGTGGTTCCCATTAAACAGTGTGAATGTCAACAAGGGCTGGGATTTGGGTTGGACTTATTCATGCTTCACATCTCCATATTTTATATTTCCCAGGACTGACCCATATGCAGCCTCTTTCATTCTGAAATAGAGGTCTGCTTAGCATACAACCCAGTAGCTAGACAAATCGTGATCTGGTGAAACCCAGAAGAATTATGAACTGTAGCAAAAATAGCCAACGAAGGCATAGCTAAGGCATATTTTCCTTTCCCCTTGATATCAGTGGAAATGTGCATCTTCAGGCATCACAGAAATAATCACCCACTCTGTATATTTTCCCCTTTTTATGGTTTTTATTGGTATAGCAACATTATTCAAGCTAGGCTCTTCCATCTCCCAAGCCAATTTCTTTTGCATCTGTGTTTATATTGATGCTATTCAAACAATGATCTTCCACTTCCCCTGTCAGTTTCCATCGTGCATTTCACATATTATGAACTTATTTAAACAAAAATAATCCTCTCAGGGTACATTTCTTTCCCATCTGTTTCTCCCCTGCCCTACACTACCAATTCTCATTTCAAAACAACATTGTAATATCATTTATTGTTATTTTCTCTTGTTTTTAAGCTTCTTCTGTAGCATTCAGAGTGGAGGGGTGGGGGAGAAATATACAGCATTAATGATTTATAGTCAAGAAGGTATTTCTTACTCAAAATGTTTCTAAAAGGATTTCTATCAATTTTTAAGAGCAATGAGATCTCAGCAATTATGACATTCTATATTTGTAGGGTGCTTTACAGTTAGTTTTTCATGTACTTTCAGTAAGTGTCATTTTAGGGAGTTTGGAAAAAGAAAATAAAAAGGAAAAATAGACCTTGTTATCTAGATCATTCTAAATATACAGATTTTTGGCAACCTATAATACACTATGTTGAAGTCAAAATAAAATATAAAGGTGGATCTCTAAACTTAACATTGTATTTTTAGAATCACAGAATAGTGATTCGAGACATACCTAGAGACTGGGTGGTCTTTGGTGTGTCTGAAGAGCAAAGAGACGGTAGAAGGGGTTATTAGAAAGGGAAATGTTATTTATTGTTTTGAAAGAAAGTTTCTTGGCACTGGTAGAGTTTTAGGAGATGGTAAGCTCTGATTGGTGGGTGATGGTGGTAGGTAAAATCTAGTCTTAAGAGTTGTGGCAGGCTGTTTCAGCAGCTATTGGATCTAACTGGTTTTAGAGTTACAGCCGGCAGTTTCGGCAGCTAGGCTTGCAAAAAATTAAATTCTTTGCACAGTGTTATGTGCTCCAAGTGCTTTCCCACCCTGGCTTCTTGACTGATTTAGTTGGATATGACAAGAGTGACCCAATTCGTATAATCACCCTTCAAACTGGACATGCAACATTTGCCTGTCTCCAATATTCCCGGTATTGTGGAGACACAGCTATTTGTCTACTAGAATCCATGTGAGGTGGTGGGGGTTTGCTTGGAATTGTTCTTAATTTGGAAATGATCTAAACAGAAAGAGGTAAGTCTGTCCCTGAATATGAATACATGTTTAGCTTAATAATATTTCTTTATAGTTCCCATTTGTTTAGAGATTGTATTATGTTTCCCAGGCTCAGAAAGACTTGTTATAAATACTCTAATCCTTTCTAAATCAGGTGTTTGTCCACCTATTTCCATATAGATATCTTAGGAGCATGAGCGATAATTTATTCTCATAATCTGCCTACGAAAGAAGAAGGTTCCTCCTTCCTCTGCCAGCCTTGCCCAGATGAAAGAGCCAGAGCCTCCTGCATGCTTCTGAGGCCAGCTGTGGGAAATCAGCTGAGATTTTTGAAGAGAAATAAGCCTTTTTAGTCTTTGAAGAAATATCTGTAGAATCCACACTCTGGTAGACAACTTCCAGAGGTCACTTAATTCTGCATGGAGTTTCTAACTCAACATTTATAAATGGGTCACGTTTCTTCCTTTGGAAAGGCAGATTTGGCAAGTTAATATTATCTCACAGAACACATATTCTTTAAATGAGAGGTGCTTTAGTGATTCAGAGTTCTTTCTCAAGGGTTCATGGGCTAGGCTGGAATCTCTCACATGCAGGAAGAACATTGATGAGGCATCCATCCTGTCTGACCTTAATCCTTCCTGAGGCCTTGAAGCCCAATATTCCTGAGTTGGACTTTAAAACCTACCCAAGGTTGGAGATTCTTGCTCCACTTTCTGCAGGCTAAAGAAGCAAGATTCTTCTAATTGTTTTTCATCTGTGATGGTTTCATAAGTGAGTAAGAGCTTATAAGTCTCTTTTACAGTTCATTACAACCAAGAAACCTTATTTAGTCAAAGAAAATTGTCCTTTGGGGAATGATTAGAATTCACAAAGACTAAAATCTTTTGGGGGTGGAAAATGCTCTCTGCATGGTACAGAAAACAAAAACCAAATCCCCAAACCTACTCCTCAATACAATTTCTCATTAAGTAAATGAAATGGCCTTTTCCTTTTCTCAACTCAACCCTATGAGTTTTCATCAATTTAGTTTCTGCTCTCCTGTCCTTGTTTTCTATTTTTCTCCAGTGGATCACTTCTGGTTTCAGTACCGTAAAAGAATAGACTTTCTAAAAGTTGGAAGATCCAAAGTTAAAATATATAGCCTTGAATCATAGTTATTGAAAGTTCCTGTGCAGTGCCTTAGATGGGTTAGGTCAAGCAAGTCAGACTCAAAAGGGGATTGAACTCTTCTTACCAGCAGAAGTTAGCATCCTGTTATCTATAAATAGGTCATCCCCATTTATGATGATCAGAAATCATCATAAGCATGACCTTTGTAGTCATCACTGACATAATCTTTGTTTCCGAAATCTTTTTCTACTCTGTAGTTCATCCTGGCCTCTTCTGGCTTGAAACAATCTCTTTCAGGAACTTTGAAGTCCATAATCTTGACTTCTTTACCAAGGCAGCTCATGTTGCTTCTTTTTCTGGTCTTGATTACATTCAAATTCCACTGTCCCAACTAAATACTATCATATAGGTAAAAGCAAAGGGATTTCTAATATTAAGAGGCTCAGAGATGTAGCCCTGATGTGATGTGCTCAATCATAGGAATAGTAGCAGGGAATGAAGGGGTTTTGTAGAGTTTCTCAATACTTCATGGAAAGTTAGAATATCTGCCTGAAGTCTCCACGTGAGGTCTAAGAAATTTTTCTGATCATTTGGACATGTGCTAAATGATAATTTGAAGCATGTTTGAAAGATATGTTTCTGTGGTTAGGCAGTTTCGACAGTCATTTTATTATAAATACCCTCTAGGTTTGTGTCACCCTCCCTAAACTAAGTTTGAGGTGCAAAATCCTGGTTTTGGAATCTGAAAGCTTGCTTTCCAATGCTCTCTCTTGTGCTAACCAATTGTTTGATCTTTGGTAAGTCACACAGTGGCTCTGGGACAATTTCCCATTTGGAAAATGTGGAAATAGGGCTGGGTAACCAAGAAGGGAGTTAAAGAGCTAGGCAAGCACAGTGTTTTACACTGATTGTCCCAGGATAAGTTTACAGACCTTGTTGGGCTTCAGTATCATCAGGAGGTTTTAGTAAATGATAGATTTCTGTGCTCACCCCAACAAGTCCTATTCAGTAGTGTTTGGGGGTTGGCGGGGGAGAAGCAGTCCAGTTGCTTATTTAATCAGTGTGTTAGGTAATTTTGATGCTCAGGGTCCTCACACCATACCTGGAGAAACTTACCTAGGGAGGTATAATTCAGAGTCCTAGAGAACCTCTCCTCTCCATCCCATCACTAGCACTAGAAAGGTCCTTGAGGGTACAAAAGGAAGACTTCTCATTGGGCTTTAAACCCAAATGTCTGAGATAAAAGCAATCACACTAATGAATAATTAACCAGCATGGGTCCTTTCCAGATCAGGTTTTGAAAAGGCCAATCCAAACCCACTGTGGCCAGTCAATACTGGCCTAAACTAGTTGGGCCATCACAGCCTAAATTTAAACTGATTGCAATCAGTTGAAACTACTCCAAATTGATTGGGACCAACCATGACTAGTCAGAACCAGCATAGACTGATTGTAGCTGGTCAAAATCAGTTGAAACCAGTTAGGTTCGGCCATAGCCAGTGTAAAGCAGCTGTGACCCATTAAAATTGGTCAAAATAAATTGGAACAGGCAGTAATGGATCAGAACCAGCATAAATCTGTTGTGCCCAGTTCAAACCACTCTAAACTGGTCATGCCTTTCAATAACCATTAGAAACTGGTGTTGTGGGCCACTTAATACTGGCCTAAACCAGCTGCAGCCAGTCAGAACTGGTCTAAACCATTTGTGGCTAGTTATAACCAGTCAAAACGGTAAGAGCCTGCCATGATCAATCAGAACCAGTTTAAACTGGTTGTAACAAGTCACAGTTGAGCCTAGCTGAAACCAGCATCAATATTTTGCAGCTGGTCAAAAGTGGTCTAACGCAGTTGTGGCCAGTTGAAATTGGTTAGAATCATCAATGACTGATTGAAACCCACCAAAACTGGTTGTGGATGGTCTAGGCAGGGTTTAAACCAGTCACAGCCAATCATAGCTGGTTCAGGCAAATTATGGCAGGTCAAAATCAGTCAAAACCAACTGCAGCTGATCAGAGGCAGCCTAAACTGGTTGAAACTAGTCTAAACTGGTCAGAATCAGCCATGACCAGTCAGAACAGGCATAAACCAATTGCAGCTGGTCAAAATGAGTAATGAGTCAAAACTGAGGCTGGGCATAGGTGTTCTAAAACAGTTGTGGCCAATTAAAATAAGTTGTGACCAGCCACAACCAGCTTAAATTGTCTGCAGCCAGTCAGAACTGGTTTGAACTTATTGTGGCCTATTGAAATCAGTCAAAACTGGTTGTAAAAAACCACGACCAGTGAGAAACACAAACTGTGGCCACTGAAAATTGGCCTAAACCAGTTATACCCTATTAAAACCAGTCTAAACCAGTTGTGGCTGGTCATAATAGGTCCAAACTAGTTTGGGACAGTCAAAACGGGTCTAAACCATTTGGAACAGACCAAGACCAGTCAGAAATGGCCAAAATTAACTGTGGCTGGTATAAACCAGCCTAAACCAGTTGTTCCATGTTCAATCTGTCTAAACATGTCATGGTCGGTCATAACCAATCCAAACTAATTGTGGCCAGAAGAAACCAGTCTAAACAGATTGTAGCCAGTTATAGTCAGTCTAAATCATTTGTGGCCAGTTAAAACTCATCTAAATCAGTTGGAAATAGCCTAGACCAGAAAGAACTGGTATAAACAGGCTGGGGCCAGTCACAACTGGTTGAAGCCGATCTCGGCCAGTTTAGACTAGCTTTTAGCTAGTTTCTCCTGGTTTTGACTCATTATGTCTGGCTTCACCTGGTTATGATGGGCAGTGTTCAGGGGTAAACAGCAGTGTCCAGCGCTGACTGCTCATGACTGTTCATAGAACAGTAGCAGCACATGATGAACAGCAAACCATAGATTATTGGAGGTCCTCAAATTAAAAATAAACTCGTGAATTATGGTTTTGATTTGCCTATACCTTGTGAGTAACGATGCTGAACATATTTTCATGTGCTTCTTGGACATTTACAAATTGTTTTTGTAGAAATGGCTACTCAAGTCCTTGCTCAATGTTTAAAGCAGTTGAAACTGGCTTTGTTGTTTCTTCCCTGTGCAGAAGCTTTTTTGCTTGATGTGATTCTGTTTGTCAAATTTTGCTTTTGTTGCCTGTGTTTTTGAGGTCTTACTCCAGAAATCTGTGTCCAGAACAATATTCTAGAGTGTTTCTCCAATGTTTTATTCTAGTAGTTGCATAGTTTTAGGTCTTAAATTTACATCCTTAATCCATTTTGATTTGTTTATATGGCAAGAAATAGGAGTCTAGTTTCATTCTTCTGCATAAGCATATCCAGTTTTCCCAGTACTATTCATTGAAGAGACTATCCTTTTCCCAATGTATGTTATTGATGCCTTTGTTGAAAATGAGTTAACAGTATATTTGCGAATTTATTTCTGGGTTCTCTATGTTTTTTTTTTTTTTATCTTTTTTTAGATGCCCATGCACGTTTCATTAATAAAAACCAACAGCGCCAAGGTAAACAAGTCAAACAATTAAAGTCTCTTTATATTCCATAAAATATTACAGAAAAGTTTGTTTCAATAAAAAGACTCATTTTAGAACAGGCAGCTAATAGCAACCGTGCAGTTAATAGATTTTGTGAATAAATTTTAAAAGACTACTGCCTGTCCTTAAATTCCTTTTTTCTTTTTATAAAAAAAGAACTATTAAAAATGACAAATTTTGAGTTAAAAATTGTTAAAACATTCCCTATATTTAATTTCAATTTTATAATAGATTACAGGAAGATGCTTATGAAACAAATACAACATTTGTTTCAGTACATGTCTTTAAATGATAGACTTGTAAGTATGTAAACAACTATATAATAAAAGGTTTCCAAACGCTGCCTGTAAGAAATCAGGCAAATTTTACCATAAGCAATAAACCATCCCAAGCCTTCCAGACAGTCTCCATAGCTGCACCAGTGTGGCAATAAGCTTTAACCAAACCAAACAAAAACAAACAAAAGCACTTTGCAATTTGTTGCTGCAAAATAGAGAAAGTGTATAAACTTGATGGAATCACAACAGTCAATATAATTTAAGGGAGAATAAAGTCAGTAAGGTTGATGGTGTTTATTGTTTAGAAAGTCGAATTCTGCTGTTTGCTTGGGGTTCTTGGACACCGTACCACTGAACAAATGGACAACTCCGCAGAGTCTCACTATCAGCCAGCGTGGGTGCTGTCCAAACTCACGACAAATAAACGGCATTCGGTGCTCACCATCCACAACAGGAGGGCGTTTTATTTTCATGTATGTGGATGAAATACAATTTCTTCAGCAAACTCAGCAAAAACTGTTAAGGGGCAAAAATTAAGTCTGCACTTAAAAACAGAAAATGAAAACACAAAATCCTAAAAAGTAAATAAATGCTGGGCATCAGCACACTGGTATCAAAACATAGATCCACAGCACGTCCTACTCCCACGGTAAACAATCCTTGCTTATCGGAGGTGCATATCTAAATTCAATGGCTTACCAATATCTTCTTAGGAGTAGGCCTAAAGGAAACAGAAAACCCACATTGAAAAAAAAAAGTTTATTTTCCCTAAACATTTTCCTGAAGCTGAATGTGAAGTGGAGAGGACGTCAGTCGTCCTTGTTGTTCTCGTTGAAGTCGTCCTCCTCGTCATCCTTCCCGACGTAGGACACCGGGGTCTCCACCCTGGAGCCATTGTACTGAGGTTGGAGCTTGTGGCCAGTATCTCATCCACACCATTGGTCAGGTCACTGGCAGAGAGCTTCTTGCCGTTAGACATGGAACGTGCCGTCGTGATGAACACGCCTCCACCAGTTCCCTGAGCCATTTCTGTCACGTACGGCTCCAGAGCCTTTGGGACCAGACTTCTGGCCATTTTAAGGTCTTCGGCAGAGCAGCTCCCGGACTCCAGCCCACAAGCCATGCTCATCCGCTTCAGCACTTCTATGTCATTGTAGATTTCAGATGTGTTGTCAAAATTAAACAGATACTCGAATTTGTCGTTGGAGATGCTGCTGCAGTCGATGACGGTCTTGCTGGTGTTAACGATGATGAAGGGCAGGTGGATGAGCCAGCTGGGCGTCGTTGGCCGGCTGGCCTGCTGCTCCGCGTGCTGGTTTCTCTCTTCACCAGGTTCTTGAAGGCAATTTGCTGTCGAATAAGTTTCTGAAATTGAGATTTTCTGTTTTATTCTGTCAAGTTTCCTCTGTCTTTCCACCTCTAAGTTCTGACATTCCTGAGCCGAGTTGGTGGGCAGACCAACTCACTTGATCTCCTTCTTCTCCTTGGAGATGTTCATGGCCATCAGCACGTTTAAGGCATAGTAGACGCGCCATCGATGTTGCTCTGGTCATAAGCTGACTCGTTTGGTAAGATGTGGTTGCCGGCAGCACTGAATTCCTCTGCCAGCTCGTCCGCCACCTCGTGATAGGAAGTGGTCCCTTTCCACTGCACCTTGTCTCAGACCTTCCTGGAGAAATGCCACAGGCCTTGCCATTCTTCTCTCCTTTCCTGTTGCACTTCCCGGCAGACCAAGGTGAGGAGTCGGAAGGCTGGTTCTGAGAGGCAAAGTGAGTGCTGGCGGTGTGTGGGCTACCTATCACGAGGGTGTTTGACGCTGCCGGTCTCTGAGGCGTACCGGTTACCACTTGCGGGACAACGTTGACATTGGACTGTCCAAAGGTTTTCGGCAAGAGCTGTTTCCCGAGCGGGCTGACGATGGAGGGGTGAACGGCTATGAGGGACACCAATGCCTTTTCCGGGACTAAGGTTCTGGTCTATGAAGACCTTGAGTTCTCCGTTTGCTTCAATTAGACCAGCAACTTTTGCCATGTTACTAAATCTGGGAAATCAATGCTATAAATGGTCACCCTCCCAGAGAAGAAAAATGACTTTTCTGGGCGCAGCCCCTGGGTCCCGGAGCAACGTGCAGACTCGTGGGACCACCCCAGACCCCGGCGGCGCCGGCCCAGCTGACCGGTAATTCTGACAAGTGGGCTTCCGGGGTCTGCGCCGCGCGCCTGTCACTAGGCCTTCGGCCGCCTCTGCAAGCCTCCCGCGCGCGCTGGAACCGGGTACCCGTAGGCTGGGCGGCCTGCCTCTCCTCCCCAACCTTCCGCGCTCCGGCCAACCCTGGCCCCGGCCTCGGCCCCCAATCCGGCGCGGGGCACGGGCGCTGCTGTCAGCCGGGAGGGCCCAGCCCGCGACCCCGGCCCCGCGGTCACCTGAGAAGCCCCCACCGGCGCCGAGCGCGCGGGGTCCGGGAGGGCGCAGGTAGGTGCTGCGCGGCGCCTACAGGGGGTGGGGGCGCGGGACGGGGTGTCCGGGGGTCCAGCCCCGCGCCCCGTGCTTCCGTCCGCTCCGTTGGGCCCCGCCCACGGCATCCCCTACCCGCCGCACCTGGCTGCTCGGCCCGGCCTCGCGGGCGGGGCGCAGGGCGGCGCGGAGAGGCGCAGGCAGGGGCCGGGCCGGGCCGGGTGGTCCCGGCGGTCCAGTCCGTGGACCGGTCCCTCTGGGCCGAGTGGCGCCGGGACCTCTATGTTTATTTTTTTGTGCCACTACCATGCTGTTTTGGCTATTATAACTTTATAGTACATTTTGAAGTCTGGTAGTGTGATGCCTCCAACTTTGTTCTTTTTACTTAAGAATGCTTTGGCTATTATGGGTCTTTTGTGGCTCCGTATTAGTTTTAGGATTATTGTTTCTATTTCTGTGAGGAATATTACTGATATTTTGATAGGGATTGCACTGAATCTATAGAACACTTTGAGTAATATGAACATTTAACAATACTGATTCTTCCAATATGTAAACATGGAATATCTTTCCCCTTTTTTGTGTGTGTCCCCTTCAATTTCTTTCACTGGTGTTTTATAGTTTTCATTCTAGAGATTTTTCACCTCTTTGGTTGAATTGATTCCTACTTCTTTTTCGTAGCTATTGTACATTAGAGCACTTTCTTGGTTTTCTTTTTCAGATTGTTCACTGTTGGCATATAGGAAGGCTATTGATTTTTGTATGTTGATTTTTTATCTTGCAGTTTTACTGAATTTGTGTATCTGTTATGAGAATTTTTTGATGGAGTCTTTAGGTTTGTCCATATATAAGATAATGTAATCTTCAATCAAGAATAATTTGACTTTATTATTTCCAGTTTATATGCCCTTTATGTCTTTTTCTTATCCAATTGCTCTGGCTAGGACTTACAGTACTATGTTGAAAAAAAGTAGTGAAAGTGGGCATTTTTGGCTTGTTCCGTATCTCAGGTTTTCCCAGTTCCATATGACACTAAACTAATTGCACCTCGTAAGAGAAGGTCTAACGTGGTTGTGGCCAGTTGAAACAGGACTGATTTGGTTGGAACAGGCCATAATCAGTCTGAACTGGTGTAAACCAAGTATAGGCAGACAAAGCTGGGCAAAACTGGTTGAGGCCAGCCATAGCCAGTCTAAAGTGGCTGTGGCAGTCATAACTAGTCTAAACCAGTTGTGACCAGGTGTAATTGGTCTAAGCCTATCAGAACCAGCCATAACCTGGCAGAACTGGTATGAACAGGTTGAGGTTGGCCCAAACCAGCCAAAACCAATTACAGATGGTCAGAACCAGTCTAAACTGGTTGTGGCCTGTCATAGCTATGGTCAGAACCAGTCTAAACTGGTTGTGTCCTGTCATAGCTATGCAAAACCAATTTTGGCCAGTTGAAAACTGGCTTAAACTTACTGCAACTGGTCATATTCAATCTAAAGGGCATTCTTCAATGGAAAATAAGAAAGTCAAATCATCTTTGAAGATGATGTGATCTTCTATATGGGAAAACCTCAAGACTTCATCAGAAAACTCTTAGGACAGATAAACAGTTAAGTAAAGTTGCAGGATACAAAATCAACATACAAAATCAATAGCCTTCTTATATGCCAACAGTGAACAACCTGAAAAAGAAACCCAGAAAGTGCGCTAATGTACAATAGCTACAAAAAAATAAGTAGGAAAAACAACCGAAGAAGTGAAAGATCTTGGAATGAAAACTATAAAACACCAATGAATGAAATTGAAGAGGACACACACACAAAAGGAAAAGCCATATTTGTAGATTGGAAGGATTGAGAGGACACCAAGAATGGGGACATGGTGGAGGAACAAACAAGACAGCCCAAAGGCAAATTTTGCTGGCTGTGCATTTTTGCTACAAGCTGTCTTCAGAGATGTAGACAAGGAGTTGGCGAGAGTTGAGGGGATATAGAAAGAAATTGGTGAGAATGACAGATATAATTCATCTGGAAAATAAATGCCTGGGGTATTTCCTGAAAGGCATGCAGGTGAGAAATATGTGACTAAGAGATGGCTTGTTCCAACAAGTACCCTATGGTATCTGGCTGTGCCCTGAAGTCATAAGCAGAGTTATTTGATCATATGACATCTGTGGAGTGATGGTAACTGTTAGCTTTAAGTAGACAGAGAATCTGTGCTGGGGCAGGTGTGTTTGTGCATGGAGGGCAGATGAGGATTGAGAGAGAGGAGTCGTGTATAATAAGTCCTAAAGGAGAGAGAATGCAGCTAAACAACTCAATAACTCTGTCCTAGTTTCAGCTCCATCAATGCAAGGGCAAAGCATTGAAATTAGCCTTCAATACAGTTTATTTGTTGCTATCTAAATTCCAATTTTTTTTTTTTTTGTCAAGTTGGTCCATTTGCATGCAAGGTTGCTAGCTCTAATCTACTCTGATAATGGCTTGGGTAAGCAGGTTGAAAATGTCTTACTCCTCCCTAAAGGCTCACAATGTAGAAAGGAAGGAGAGTAAAGCAACCTTTTCATAATTAAACAAGGAAGAAAATTACATCACGTTTTCATACTTTTCATTTTTTTTTCACCTCTCACAAATTTGGATGCTGAACTAGGGTTGGCAGGAACATGGACTGGAGAAGGTGGGTGACATGTTTCTTGGAATTCAAACTTCTCTTTATCACGAAGGCTTAGTAATGCTGCCCAGCCAATTTCTGCATTAAACAAACACAAATTGAAGGAGAGGAACATTATTTAATCTCCCCATGGCCAACATCCACTAATAACCTAGATTTTCCTGAACCTAAATCTTTTATACAGCTAATTCATCATCTTCTTTTTTTTAAATGGATTCTTCTCTAAGATTTATTCTCAAAGATACTTAATTCTTTCAACTAACTGATGAGATCGTGAGCTAGTGACACGGCTGAAATTTTATATTCTCCTTGTAAGAATTGAACACCACTCCTTTCAATTCCAATCCATTTCATTTAGTTCTGTTCTCTGCTGTCCCATTTTCCCTCTTGTTTCATTCTGGAAATCTCCAGAGTCAGATCTTGAACTTAATACCCACTTTGAATGCCTAGATCAAGACTGCATTTTGATGGTCTGGGTTAAAACTCTACAAGTGTTTAATTCCTTTAACCATCCCATTATCAACCTCTTCCACCATCCCTTTCAGACACTAAACATAGAATAAATGGGATGCATTTACTTAAAAGGTCAGGAGCTTTGTGAATGGCCAGCCAGCATTGGGGCATCACCAGAAGGAATTAATAGAAAGGAAAGCCAGCCCAAGGGAAAATTTTAAATAGGTGAAATTTATTTAAATTCACTTAATCTCTCTTTTCCTCAACATCTTTCTTTCTTCATATGACTCCTTAATTAACTTCCGCCTTTCTCTTTTCTAGCCCCACAGAGTGTTCGTGCTACTTTCTGGCTCTCCTAGACTATATATATATATCTGCCTTGTATAGCACCACCATGGATGCCTGACCCCTCCTTCTCATCCAGATATAGTCACAGACCTCGCTCTCTAGAGTCCTAAGTAAACACTAGTTAACTGGTAAGCTCAACTGTACCGGACAATAAAGGGTTAATATGGTGTTTTCTCCTGAGGATTTTGAATTTCAAAAGGAGACTTCAGAAGTGATTTAACCCAAAGGAATGCATATCTTTTGGTGGAATTCTAGGCACCTTGGTAGAAAATTTTTGAGTTGAGTGGCCCTATTGCTCAGATGCCACCATGTATGTCATTTTCTATGTTGTCTCTAATTAAATTCAGTTCTGCCTCTGGGACTGTAATGGAGAAATTTTAGATAGGTATGCTTTCTAAGTGAATTACTGACTTTATTCACTTATGCAAGCCACACCATTTGTTCATTTAATAGAGATTTACTGAGCATCTACTATATTGCAAGTTGTGAGAGGTGCCTTGGATATACCTGATGAATAAGACAGTATGGCAGGTAGTAAAATCTGAACAACCAGAGTTCACTTCCTGGCTTCCTCTAGGGAAGGAATATTTGCCAAACCTGTCCCATTCATAAAATAAACAAACAAACAAACAAAAGGATGAAGAAGATATATCACACACTTGAACTTAATCCATGCAGCTCGCTTACTGTGGCTCAAGAAGAAAGGGTTTGGAAAAACAGGATAAATACTTCAGTCAGGGCGCGCTGGCTGCTGAAGCACATTTAAAAATCAAATTACCATTTTAATGGTATGCATCGTTTCCATATCAAATGATAACATTATTGGCAAAGACTAGAAGGTGACACAACTTTGAGTGCTTAAACTGTCCCAACAATAGATGAAGCTATCTTAAAAGGACTACAAAGCCACTCCACCATCTGGCACCCTCTCTCTCGCCATCCTGGTGGGGTTGGGGAAAAAGAGCGCTTCCAAGTGGTGAAATGAAATGAAATTGGCTTGCCCTGAGGATGCACGTTGAGGAGGGCCTGTTCGGCCATCTGACATTCTTCTTACTGTAACTGCATAAAGGGATGGCTTCCCAAGCAACAGTCTTATAAACAAACTATTTTTTATTATTACAAGTAGACAGGTTTACTACAAGTTTATTTTGAAAGCACAGCAGAACACAAAGCAAAAAAATAGAAGTCATTTATAAAACCTGGAAATAGCTAATATTGATATTTCAGTGTATATCCTTCCAGTCTTTAAAATTTCCTGTGTGCATTCGTGTGTGTGTGTTTATGTGTGTATGTGTGTGTTTTCAAAGCAAAAATGAAATCAAACTGTATTATTTTCCATTTAACTCAGGCTAACTTCATGAGCATGTGGCCTGTGCTTGGTTTAATGCTCTGCTGTTGCCATCATGAAATACTTACTTTTATCTTTGGACCTGTGTGTTGTCCGATGGGAGTGGAGGAGATGCACGCAATATGGGTGGCTCCTGTTCTTGATGCCTCATTTGCATACAGTGTTCACAGTGCTCCATGAGCACAGAATTCCGATGGGTCCACAACGAAAGGGACTTTATGATACTGAAAGCAAGCATGAGGTAAGCATGTTATATCTATAACTGAATGCTCACCATCCTGAGGGACTGTGCTTTCCACTTGAACCAGAGCTTGCTTCTAATGCAGAGAGAAGACAATGGTGTTTTAAGAAACATGAAGGACCAAGAAAACTTATCATATCCTTTCTTACACAGGTTACCTCCCTGTATTAGCCAAGCACTTGAAATGATGACATAGAAGGAAAAATAGGGCAACCTGTAATTCCTTTCCTCTCAGTTCTTCCTTACTCTTCAGTAAGCCAAAGGTAGAGGGTGCCGGTAGACTGTGGGTACATCAAGAAGTGAAATAAAAACAGTTGAGTTTACTTTGTGAACTCATTTCCATGTTCTGGCAAGAGAGAAATACATATGTATATGAGAATTTCAAAGTAGAAATTGTATAATTTTGGTGATTCTAAAAAAGAAATGGTTTTATTTACATTTTAAACTTGCACCACACAACAGAAAGATGAATGGTACAATTCATGCTAATAAATTAAATTCTAAAATTTTATTTACTTAACAACATTAAATAGCAAATTAATAATTTCATGTCAAGTCAAATGAGAGACCACGGAAGAAAGGAAAGATACTTTTTTCTGTTTAGGGGCCCGTCATTTTCATTTTCCACTGGGCCCTGTGAACTATATAGTCAGCCTTGACTGAATGATATATTGTGATCATTTTTTTCAAATCATTAAATATGATTTATTTTTATTTTTTATTATATGTTTTGATAGACTTTATTTTTAGAGAAATTTTAGGTTTACAGCAAAATTGAATGCAAGATACAGACAGCTCCAATGTACGTCGTGTCCTCACACACACACAGCCTCCCCTGTTATCAATATCCCCCAACTAGAGTGGTAAATTTGCTATAATTGGTAAACCTACATTGACATATCATTGCCACTCAATGTCCACAGTTTACATTAGAGTTCACTGTTGGTGCTGTACATTCTATGGGTTTGAATGAATGTATAATGACACATATCCACCATTTTGGTATCTTACAGAATAGTTTAGCTGCCCTAAAAATCTTCTGTGCTCCATGAACATGATTTTAAAAGATTATTACTACCATCTGCATAGTAAATGGCTTCAATTGATGAATTTACTTAACTTATTTTCTATAACTTTTTGGACATTTAGAAGATTTACAATGTGTTTCAATTAGTTGGTTATTACGGTATGAGGAAAATATCTGTATGTAAATCTTTATATACATCTATGGCTGTTTCCTTAAGGAAATTCCAATAAGTAGAATTGCTAAGTCAAATGATATGTACATTTATAAGCATTTTGAGATATAGTGACACAGTTCTCCTGGGAAAGTTGGTAACAATGTCCAATTTCTCCCTTAATACAGCAACCACATTCAGTACTTCATCTATCCCTTTTTTGTATCCATGCATTCAGTCTTTGGTGTTTTTTCACCCATTTATTCTTTCATCAACAATCCCTACTCTCTGTCAGGTACTGTGTCAGGAAGGTACTGGGCCAAATGATGAAGACTTGACTTTATGGAACTGACAGTCGAGTGGAAAAGGTCAGACTGAAACAACCCCACAAATACCTATGTATTTACAAATTGCAGTGAGTTCTGTGAAGGGAAAGGCTGGAATGGTTTTAGAGCATTGAGCTGGCATCTTCACTTAGTTGGAGTGTCAAGACATGTTCCCCTGAAGAGGTCATAGCTAGGTGAGACTTGAAGGAAAAGTCGAAGTTAAGTTGGTAAAGGGAAAGAGAAGGAGAATGGAAGCGTGACAGATAGACGACCAGCCTGAGCAAAGGCCTGTGGCAGGAGGGGTGAAATCATGGAAGCAAAAGTCCAGTGTGGTTGGAGCACAGAGGGCAGAGGGGAAAGTTGAGAGAGACAAAGCTGGAGGCATGGATTAGGCCAGAGGTCCACAAACCGTGGCCACCAGGTTAGATCCAGCCTGCTGTCTATTTTTATAAATAAAGTCTCATTGGAATACAGCCATGCTCATTTGTTTCTGTATTGTCTACGGCTGCTTTTGAGTTACAATGGCAGAGGTGAGTAGTTCCAACAGAGGCTGCCTGACCCCAAAAGCCTGCAATATTTACTGTTACGCCCTTTACGGAAAAAGTTTGCCTACGGCTAGACAAGACCATGCAAGGTCTTAAAGTCCGTAGAGAGGTTTCATTCTTTACCCTGGAACAGTGGGAAGTGATTAAAAGGTTGAAAGGTATAGGTAGCATGTGATTTGTATTTTGGAATGGATTGGAAGGTGCAGAGGGAAACGCAGGGAGACCAGTGAAGACTGTCACAGTATTCCAGGCGGGAGCCAATGGACCCTTGCAAGAGGGTAGTGGCTTTAGAGACGGAAATTGAAAGATATTTGAGAAGCAAAACCAAGAGGATATAACATGATGGGAGAGGGAGAGAGTTATCAAAAATTACCCCTAGGTTTCTGTTTAGTACAATTGCATGAACCATGGTGCTCTTCACAGAAATAGGGAAGACTGGAAAAGGACCAATTGAGAGTGCCCAGGGAGATATTAATGAGTTCAGTGTGAGGTAACTTTGAGATAGCCAAGAGGATTTTGAACAGGCAATTGGATAAAGGTTTCTGTAGCTTAGAAAAGTAGTGAATACTCCCCATTGTAATTTGGCCAAAAACATACTTAGTATCTCATTATATATTTTCTACTGGGTTTATATTTGCCACTGACTTTTCAATGCAAAGAACATTTATTTAGTGTCTATGATGTGCTAAGCACTTGTGAGTTACTGCAAGAGAATACAAATACAAATAAAATATGCTTTCTATTCTCAAGATTACACAATCTACAATATAAAGCAGTCACTAATGAATGGTACTAGAGTTGAGCCCAAAAATGCTATGGGAGCAAATAGTAAAAAGCAAAAATGAAACCAAAATGATAGGGGAAGTGCAATTAATTCTGTCGGGTGAGAAATCTACAAAGAAGGTGGTACTGGAAAAAGGATAAATGGGGTTTCAGATGGTAAAGAGGGGGTGAGGTCAATGCATACAGGGGCAAAGGGAATGGGGTTTCAGATGGTAAAGAGGGGTGAGGTCAATGTTTACAGGGGCAAAAGGAATAGCATGAGCTGGGGAATGGAGCTGAGAAAGGTTATCAGTTGCTGGTGGGCAGTTCTTCTGAAATAAAAGAAATTTGTGATTTTCCTATTCTTACTAAACCCAGGAGTCCCCGCCTGAGCTTAGAACAATATTTGGCACCCTAATTCTGCTTTGGTTGACTCTAATCTTCATTTCCGGTGAGCATATGGTGCTTTGCCACCCATATTGTAGTTATGAGATCTTATCTGATTCCTTACTCCCATAGTGAAATAATTAATTGCTTTATCCTTTTGCACTCTCATATTATTTTATCTTTTATACTTAAATTGCTCTTGTCACACACTATTGGGGTTAAATATAGATGCATTTCTCTATCTACCAGGACATGAACTTATTAAGGGTTGCTGTTCTGTCTTCTACATCTTTGGGCCCTCAGTGCCTAGAACAGTGCAAAGTAACAGCTACAACAATGGCGAACATCCGCCGAATCAAATTAAATGGAAGACAGAAACTTCTGGCTCCAGTGCTGGTGTTTGAGTGATCTAATGAAAAGTCAGGGGCTACATGCTGGTGAGGACTGGGAGAAAGAGAAGAAATTGAATTTGAATAATTGAATTTTAAGAAGCAGGCATATGCTTCTGCTGTAACCTCCCCACACCAGACAGCATAGCCCAGATGCAAGTCAAAATGCATTATGTATTTAATGTGTCTCATGGGGTTGGCATCCGAGATAATACGAAGAGAAGGCAGGGTTTATAATCAAAGTAGTAACATCTAAAGACATTTAGCTGGTGGTGAAAGATCAGGGCATATCTTTGGATATTTAGTCAATCTTGTGTGGAGAAGAGTGGATATGATTGAGGGATGTGTGTGTGTTGGGGGGGTGTGTTTGTGTGTGGGTGTAGATAATTTAGAGACAGAAGAAATGAAGTGGAAAAATCAGGATTTCTGGGGCAGGTGTTTCTTGGAGTTTTGGGAGTTGGATGTCAATTCTGATAGTTGGTACTGATGTATGGGGCTCGAATTTGAGAATAATAAAACTATTTTGCCCCCGGGAAACAATGTGTTGTTTCCCAGTTTCTCCTGAAGTTAGGGCAAGAGAAAATGAGATTTTGTGGAACCAATAAGAAATTAAGTTATGAGGAAGAGGGAAGATATCTAACACCTGCCATATGCCAAACACTTTGTCTTCTTAAATACACCTCCAATAGAGTTATAAGTGAGGTATCAGTATCTATGTTTTGAGTGAGAGAAAATGGAGGACCAGAGAGGTTGAATAACATCCTTAATATCACAAAGCTGAGAAGAGGCAGGGTTGGGGTTCAGACTCACATTTGATTAATTATAAAGCCCCTGATTTCATCACCACCCTCTCTTATCTTCCTAGATTCTGAAATCTGAAAAGTGACTGTGAAGCTTTTGTGTGATACCCTCCTACACAGACATGTGAGGGGTGGCAATATAGGTGTTGTCATGATAGGGACTCATTGTTATTGAGGGTCAGGCAGATAGATAGCCTTAGTGAGCTCTGGGTGCCTCATTTAGATCTACAGTATCCTTATGAGTAAGCCCTAAGTTCCCTTGTGATGCTGTTGTACTAGAAAAGTTGTGATTTTCATCTAAAGGTCTTAGAACTGCCCTCTAGATTCCAAACAGAGAGACAGAAAAGAGAGGATAAAAGGAAGTTGAGAACTCCCAGGACACTAAAGGCTGACAAAACTCTAGTTATTGTACATTACAAACTATTTTCATGATCATTTAATGCAGTGCTTTCACTTTACAGATAAAGACACTAAAGCCAGGGACTGACTCCAGAAAATTTATTTCAAAATATCAAATACACCCTTGTGGTCTTGCTACAACCCCTTTCAGCACGTCTTCACCTCCCTGGACATTTCCGCTCCCCAAAAGCACATGACGCTTATCACTTTTTATAGGGCCTTTCCCCCAGAGAGTTCTCAAATTCAAGACTTGGTAAGGTCTGAACATATTACCCTTATTGGATTTTCTATATTTAAGAAATCTAAATGTCCCTCATTTAAAAAAAATATATTCTCATAAAAATTTTATAACATAAAATTAATATAGGAAGGATATCATTTTATATTCTTCCATCCAGACACAACCATTCTTAATATTTTAGTAACAGTTTCCTTCCAGTCTTTTTTGCTTTTCAAATGTATCCTTGTTTCCATGTTGCATTAGGAAACAATTTGAATAGGAGAGTTCAAAACTAAATTTCAGGCATGTGGGATCGATGTTTGGCTCTGTGAATGCACACACACACACACATACACACACCATATATATATATATATATATATATATATATATATATATATATATATAAAAAATATATATTCAGAATTGTCACTATATATGTGTGTGTGTATATATATATATATACACACACACACACATATATATACACACACACACACACACACACACACATATATATATAATGGCCCCAGAGTGGTGTATGCTGGCACCAATGTTAGTGGGCAGTGGGCCCAGGCAGGCCAATATATATATATATATATATATATATATATATATATATATATATATATACACACACACATACACACACACATATGTGTAAATATATATATATACACACAATGTGTATATATATATGTGTATGTGTGTATATATATATAGAGAGAGAGTGTGTGTGTGTGTGTATGTGTGTGAATATGTGTGTGTGTAGGGGTAGAAAAGGCTGGAAAGTTGGGTTTGGGGCGATGGTAGTAAACCCAACCTAGCATCTTTGAAATCCATGGCATGAGTGGCTGCCACAACTCTCTCAGACCTGGGGCTGAGTGCTTTCCTTGGCAAAGGGGTGCCCAGCAGCCCCAAACACTTAGCATAATTCATGTCCTTTGGGTGTCACTCAAATGGGGACCACAACGTGATCAAATGGTGGCTGGATAACCACGATGTCTGCTCCTGCCATCTCTGCTCATGAAAAACTACTCGGAAAAGAAGAAGCAAGAAACAGAATTTAAAAAAATTCATCCAAGAGGAGTCAGACTCCTTCGGGAACTCATCAATGCCATCTTGTCACTGGTCAAAGACAGAGCAATTGAGAGATCAGGAGCTGAGTTATCTGCTTTCTCAGTCCAGAAAGAAGAAAACTGGCTCCGTCAGGGCCAGCCGAAGGAACATGCTTCCAGGATCACACAGAGCGCCTCAGCATTTCTCGCTGTCTCCACTGTGTTTTTCCATTGACAATTCTGAAGCCTTGCCACAGAAACCAGCTGTCTCTGTCAACCCCAGCGTTTTCCTGTCTCTCACGCTTTCCCTCGCTTTCCATCACACAAAAGAGTTCTGTTAACTAGAAGCCTTTGCAGTGTGGCTGTTGAGGTCGTGGTGGTTAGAGCCCCTGTTGCACAAAGCTGCCGGTGGCTGTCTGGGGCTCCAGACATTTTTAAGATCAAAATCAGGAGGAAAAAATATCAAACCACTTTTTGAAGCTGCTGCTCCAGCGTTCTTTGGAGTGCCCAGTCTCCTCCCTACGCACAGCCCCAGGCACTGTCTGACCCAGCGTTTTATGCACTTATGCTCCAGAACATTTCCAAAAATACACACCCACTTTAACAAAAAGTCATCTGAGCCAGTGTTCCCTTGGCGGAAGGAGGCTCTGTTTATGCTCTAAGTCCTCTTGGTTCCAGGAGACGAAGATGGGAGGGACGTGAAACCCCCAGTTGGGTGGGCAACAGCCTCGTGCTTGTTAGTCCTCTCACATCCCCACCAGATGGAATGGCTTTCTCTGAATAAAATGGCTCCCTCTGGATAGAATGGCTCCCTCTGGGTAGAACAATTCCCCTTGACTAGGAGGGTTCCCCTTAGGTAGAATAGTTTCCTACCCCCACCCTCCCACCCCCACGCCACCCCCACGCCCCCCCACCCTATCGCCCCCCCACCCCCCCACTCCCCCCCTGCTGGGGTAAAATGGCTCCCCCCGGGTAGAATGGCTCCCCCTGGGTAGAATGGTTCCACCCGGGTGGCCTGGGTAGAATGGCTCCACCTGGAATGGTTCCACCTGGGTAGAATGGCTTCTTGTGGGTAGAACAGTTCTCCTTGTAGAATGGCTTCCCCTGGGTAAAATGGCTCCCTCTGGCTGAGCTTCTCCTGCCTCAGGACTCCTATGGCCATAGACTGCAAGGAGGAGCCCAAAACCTCTAGGCAACAAGCGGGTAACAATTCTAGTACCTCCACCCACTGGTTGGTGTGACCTTGGACACATCTTAACATTTTTGACCTTTGGTCAGTTTTCTCACCTATAAATTGAGACTAATAGCACTTCTCTACTGGATTTATGAGAATTAAGGTAGCAACATATGCTTAAAGCCTAATACAGTGAGCACATGGTCAATTTGTGGATACAATAGCAGGTATTACTATATATAAGTTATTACTATGTCTTTCCATATCTTGATCTCCCTCCTAGTTAGGGATTCCATATGACTCATCCAACTTTTTATGTGAGGGAATCCATGTACTTAGACACATAAAGAATAGAAACATCCGATAAGGTAAAAATCTGAGCCCTAGGAGTTGCCCTGCCCCACGAGCCAGACACAGTCCTGCTACTGGGCACAGAAGAAGATGACCCGAGGCTTAGGGCCCTTAGAAGGACTTCATGCCTCCAAAGATTCTTCCTCAGTCTGACTGGCTGATGCCAGAACTCCCACCACAACAGATTCTTTTCTATGATCTCTGTTAAAGAAATAATTCCCCAGAGGGCTTACACATTATCAGACATTTGTCCTTGCTTGTGACTGGGAAGGATGTTGACAGAAAAAAAAAAAGAAATCTGTGGCTGTTTAAAAGTCAAGTAGTCATGGAGTCATAGTCAGACCTGGGAGGAACTTTCTTTGAGATCATCCTATGGTTTTTTGTTTGTTTGTTTTTGTTTTTGTTTTGACAAGAATAATCTGAAACCCAGAGGCTTTTAAAGTTGCTGCAAAGGTGCTGTGCAGTGTGGGAAAAGACACATGAAGCAGAAACCTGGGAGTCTGGAAGACCAACCTTACTGAATTTTAGAGATGCGCCTCCAGGCCATCCATATCCATGTTCTCTCCCCCAGTTTTAGAATGAGATTTTAGAACAACTTTAACTCTGTGGAATTGTGAAAAAATTCAAATGTCAACAGTATAAGTGGAGTTTATACTGTATATAGTAAAATAAAATTTAAACCTTATGTTAGGAATGTTCTGAGGTAATTTTAACATAGGTAAGTCTTGATTCCTCAGCTTACTAATGGAGTTCCAGGGCAGAGTGTGTTTCTTTCATATCCAGGCCCCTTGTCCACACCTGGCTGTCCTGGTGTGTCTGGCATGGAACACAGCCAGAGGTGGCCTTGGCTGCAAGTTGTTTGTCAGAATGACAGCCTTTTCTGCTAAATGCTCCCTCCCTCTCATGCATGCTGGCACCAAAAATGCCAGAAAATGAAAACTGCAATAAGTAAAGGACACTTGCCTGTCTGCTTCAGTATCAGGTTAGAGGTCTCCAGCACACTCTCCTTTCCTTTACTCTTCCTTCCCCATGGAAAGGGGAAATTGGAGGAAATTTTCTGTGGGAAATTGAAGAGTAACCTGATTAGGTCAGACTAAATGGGGACGTTTTCTAAATGGTCTTTTGAAGTCAGCCTTCTGCCTGTCCCCATTCCCTAACCACCCCACCTCTAACACATGGAGGAATGAGGAACATGTACTTGGAAAATTCACTAGGAACTGGCTAAAGGAATTATCAAGAGAGAGAAGTCATGAATTCACCAGTATATATTGAGCACTTGCCATGTGCCTGGAGCTCTGCTAGTTATCAGGTGAGGTGCAAATATGGCTGTTCTGTAGTGTACAGTGATGGTGAGATGGGGTTAGAGATTTAAAAAGAAGATTATTTGAATATTTGGTCACTTTATGGTGTTCTGTATATCATCAAGGCTTTGCTCATTCTTTTTAATTCTTTTTTAAAATTTTTGTCTGACTGTGTTATTTCAAAAGGCCTGTCTTCAAGTTCTGAGATTCTTTCATCTGCTTGATCCAGCCTATTGAAGCTTTTGGATGTATTACATTTTATATTTTATTTAATGAATTCTTCAGTTCCAGAATTTCTATTTGGTTCTTTTTTATGATGTCTGTCTTTTTTGGCAGATTTCTCATTCATAGTCTGAACAGTTTTTTTCTGAGTTCTTTGTATTGTTTTGCAGCATTCTCTTGTATCTCACCGGGCTTCTTTAGCATCAATAACCTGAATTCCTTCTTTTCAGGATTTTGTGTATTTCGTTTTAATTGGTATCCGTTGCTGGAGAGCTAATTGCGTTCCTTTGAAGGTGTCATATTTCCTTATTTTTTCATGTTTCCTGCTCTTATACTGATATCTGTGCATCTGGTGTAACAGTCACTTGTTCCAATTTTTTGAATTTGCTTTTGTAGAAGACTTTTTCCTGAGGATGAATCTATGGTGTTAGTTGAATAAAGCATTTGGCTTTGATTCTGAGTGTGTGCAGTAGTGTAGTCTCTATGTAATTTCTTTGGCTGTAAACAGTGTCAGTGGTATCTGTAATTTTCTTGGTGGCTTAATGGAGGATGTGGAGAAGTTTTGCTGGGGACTAGAATGGCAGGTGAGCTAGTCTTTAGGCTCCAGTGGTGGCAGTGGTGGGCCAAGCATGTTGGTCCTTGGGTCCCTGAGTGGTGTGTGCTGGCACCAATGTTAGTGGGCCCAGGCAGGCTAATTCTTGGCCCTCCAGGTGGCTTACTCAAATGCCAGTAGTAGCAGCAAGGGGTCAGCCTGGTGGATGGGTTCTTATGCCCCTGGGCAGATGGCGTGGTCTGGAAGTTAGCAGTGTCAGTGGCAGGATGGTCCTCTGGGTCCAAGTGGTCTGCACTGGTGTTGGCAGTGGCTGCAGTGAGCTGGGCTGGGCAATCTCCAGGCACACAAGAGGCACATACAGGTAGTTGCCAGCTGTAATGGTAGCAGCCTGGTAGTTAAGTCCAACTTCAGTCTCCCAGGAGAAGTACCAATAGTGGTGGATTGGGTTGGGCAAGAAGTACCAATAGTAGTGGATCGGGTTGGGCAATCTCCTCGTTCCCAGACTGTGTGCTCTGACATGGGGGGAGTGGCAAGGAGCGGGAGGACTTGTTTTCAGCACTCCTGATGGTGTGAACAGGCACTAGCCATGGTAAACAGGGGTGAAGCAATTCCCAGGACACCTGCATAATGCTTGGGTGGAAGCAGCAGTGGCTGCACTGCCTCCCTGCCACTGGAGAGAGTGGTGCTTCCTTCAGTGATGGCGGCCTAGGCTGGCATGTGGGGAGCTCACATGCTACTCATGCCTCAGCCCCATTGGCAAATGCACCTCTGTTGCTGCTGCAGTAGTCTGTGCCTCGGTCTTGCCTTTGCCCCAGGAGCAGTAGACCTGTGATCACTCACATTTAAGCCTGGCACCTAAGCCCTGGAGTTAGCAGCTTCTCTTGCACCTTAGTCCCCACACTGCTGGGCCCCCAAAGAGTTCACAGTCTATTGGGGGTGGGGCTCTAAAATGGTGCTTTGCTGTAGCTGCTTAACTCTCAGGGAGGGTGTGGACCCAGAACAAGCATCCTCCTTAGGGAAGTGCCATTGCACAATCTCCTGGCAATTTCCAATGTTAGTTTCAAGGCCTGTGAGGGCCAAGGGGCTCTCTCATGGCTAGGACTGCAGGAGTTCACAGTGGGAATATGGACTACTGAGTGTATCACTTACTCTTTCCCCTTATTAAGGAGTCTCTCTTGACTCCAAGGCAATCTGGCTGTCCAGGTTGCCACACTTCCTTCTCCTTCCTTGCTTTAGGTATTTCCTGTCACTTTTCTGTTTAATTCAGTATTCTCTTAGATGATCTATTTGACATGTGATTACCTACTCTGTTTTGGTTCTTCTTAGTGGAGAAGGCAAGTATGAAATGTCTCTAGTCAGCCATCTTGAAGACCCAGATCCCCAAGCAATCCTCAACAAAATACTAGCAAACAAAATTCAACAGCACGTTAAAAAGATGTGATCAAGTAGATTTATACCAAGGAGGCAAGGATGACTTAAAACACACAAATCAATGAACATGATGTATCACATCAATGGAATGAAGGACAAATACCATATGACCATCTCAATAAGTGTAGAAAAAGTACTTTAGAAAACTCAATATTCTTTCGTGATAAAAACTATCAACAAACTATGCATAAAAGGAACATATTTCAAAATAATGAAGGGTGTATATGACAGACCCACAGCTAACATCATACTGAGTTGGGAAAAGCTGAAAGCTTTTCCTTTAAAAACTGGAACAAGACAAGGGTGCCCAAATTCATCATTCCTATTCAATATAATACTGGAGGTCCTAGCCAGAGCAATTAGACAAGTGAAAGAAATAAAAGGCATCAGAATTAGAAAAGAGGAAGTTGAATTTTCACTCTTTGCAAATGACATGATCTTATATTAGGAAAACCAAAATACTCTACAAAAAATTTCTATAGCTGATAAGCAAACTCAGTAAAGTTGCAGGGTAAAAAGTCAACATACGAAAATCAGTAGTGTTTCTACATACCAATAAAAGAATAGCTGAAAAAGAAATCAAGAAGGCAATCCCATTTATAATAGCAACAAAAATAAAAAATACCTAGGAATACATTTAACCAAGGAGGTAAAATATCTTTACAAGAAAAACTACAAAGCACTGATGAAAGAAACTGAAGAAAACATAAATAAATGGAAAGACATCCCATGCTTATGGATTCAAAGAATTGATATCATTAAAATGATCATATTTCCCAAAGCAATGTACAGACTCAACGCAATCTCTATCAAATACCAATGGCATTTTTTCACAGAAATATAAAAAGAAATCCTAAAATTCTTGTGGAATCAAAAAAGAGCCTCAATAGCCAAAACAATACTGAGCAAAAAGAACAAATCACACTACCTGTAGCCTTGCAAAATATACTGCAAGGCTCTAGTAACCAAAATAGCTTGGTATTTTAATAAAAATTGACACATAGACCAGTGGAACTGAATAGAGCACCCAGAAAATAATTCCATATATTTATGACCAACTTATTTTCAACAAAGGCTCCAAGAAGAAACACTGAAAAATGGACATTCTGTTTAATAAATGACAGTAGGAAAATTGGATATCCATAAGCAGAAGAATGAAATTGGACCCCATCTTTCACCATATATAAAAATATACTCAAGATAGGTGAAAGACTTAAGTGCAGGACCCAAAACTGTAAAACTACTAGAAGAAATCATAGGTAAAACACTTCAAGACGTTGGTCTAGGCAAAGATTTTATGTCAAAACCTCAAAAACACAAACAACTGAAGCAAACGTAGACAAATGGGACTATATCAAACTCAAAAACTTCTACACAGCAAGGAAACAATCAACAGAATGAAGAGAAAACCTGTTGAATGGAAGAAAATATTTGCAAACTATTCATCCAACAAGGAACTAATATTGAGAATTCATAAGGAACTCAAACAACTCAATCAACAGTGAAAAAAAGATCCTATTAAAAAGTGGGCAAAGAACATAAATAGACAACAGGTACGTGAAGAAAATCCTCAACATCACTATGCAACAGGGAAATTCAAATCAAAACCACAATGTGATATCATCCTACCCCAAATAGAATGGCTATCATTAAAAAGACAGAAAAATACCAGATGCTGGCGAGGATGTGGAAAAAAGAGAACTCTTATACATTTTTGTTGTTAATATGAATTAGTTCAATCACTGCGGAAAACAGTATGGAGACACCTCAAAAAACTAAAAATAAAACTACCATATGATTCAGTAATCCCATTAGTGGAGAGCCATCCAAAGGAAAAGAAATCAATATATCAAAGGGATATATGTACTTACATGTTTATTGCAGCACTATTCACAATAGCAAGGACATGGAATCAATCTAAGTGTCCATTGGTGGACAAATGGATAATAAAAATGTAGCATATATACATAATAAAATGCTATTCACCCATAAAAAGAATGGAATCATGTTATTTGCAGCAACATGGATAGAACTAGAGGTCACTTTGTTAAGTAAAAAAAACCCAGGCACAAAAACACAAATTGTACATGTTCTCACTCATATGTAGGACCTAAAAAGCTTGATCACATGGAGATGGAGAATAGAATGGTAGATACAAGCGGCTGAGAAGGTTGTGAAGATAGGATGAAGAAACAAAGAAGGTTGGTGATTGAGTGCAAACTTACAGTGAGATAGAAGAAAAAAAATTTCAATATTAAACAGTCGATTAGGGTGACTGTAGTTAGCAACAACCTATTATGTATTTCAAAGTAGCTAGAACACAATCATTACACATTCTATGCATGTAAAAAACACATATACCCCATAAATACATAAAATATTATATATTAATAAAAGGAAAAACCATATTAAAAGATAGAAAAGTAAAAAGGAGATGAAAAGAGAAAGTAAAATAGCCCCTGGCTTTGGAGAACTTTTACAGTAGCAGGGGTGACATTTGAGTAGCCACGTGAGAGATCCATACAAGTAAACCAATGGAAGACAGTGTTGCAGGCAAGCAGGAATGAGCCCCACACAGGCATAGTCAGAGGGCTTCTTATAAGAAGTGGAACTGAACTGCACAGCATGGATATTCGTTGAGAGCCTCTTCAGATCAATGAAAGCATGGATAGAATTAAGATGGTTGAAGAAAGAGGGAATGAGGGCAAATGTTGGGATGCCTGGATAGAGAGTCTTCTGCCTAAGGTCAGAATCATCCTGGGCCCTGATGGACAGTGATGAGGGATCTGGAGTCCTAGATTAGAGGGGTCAGCTACAAAGCAGTTAGAGAGGAAACTCAAGGGGGCTGAGTATAAAATTTCTTGAATTCCAGGTGGGGTAATTTAGACTTGACATGTTAGATAAGGGTGAAATGTGCCTGATTATACAATAATTATTTATTACATGCTTACTTGGTGCCAGGACTGTTCTGTCTATTGGGATGAAAATGATTAAGAATGTCAGTGAGCCAGAAGGGAGGGTGTACCTCAGAGTGAGGGGAGTTTTAACTAAATGGCAGGCTGGGGAACATCGACGGATATTTCTGAGGGTGAGGATCTGGATCTACCTGGTGACTACAGGAATATAGAGGAAGAAGAAAAAATAAGAGATTATTTTTCTTCCAAAGAATGAATCAGCAGGTCTTAGTGGTAGACTGCTAAACTTGTTAAAGACCAGGAAGGAGGAATCATGTGAAATGTGTCCTTCTCTTTCTCATTTCCCTGAGCTGAGTAGCAATAACAGCAACAACAACAACAACAAACAGCTAAAAGGTAGAGGTTCCAAGCCACTAAACCTGTTATTTTATGCTATGATAACTCCCTCTACAGCAGTATCACCACACTGCATGACCCTGGGAAGCAGAGAGAAGAACTTGCAGATGTTCACTTAGTGGTACCCACTGGAACCTGAGAAACCATTTAGAAGCTTATCATCCCCTGCCCTCATGAAAGCATGTGCTGCTGCAGCCCTGCTTTTGTTTTCTAGAACAAACAGAGGAAGAGGATGGACAAGAATCCAAGATTAAGTTGTTCTTCATTCATTCAATCAATGTTTATTAAGGGTCACCTTTGTGCAAAACATCAGCAACTGTATGTACCTAAGAGCTAATGATCAAAGTTTCTAGGTGCTGCAAGATTCTGAAGACATTTGCAAATGCCTTGTGCTATAGCCATATTTGTAACCGTAGTGCTTGATCCATAGGAACATTTGATCTGGGCTTGATAAATGGACACACAGATGAAGGAAGAAACAAATGAAGTATGGCACCTATGAAGGCTGGAGGACTCAGGGACAACTCCTGGATGAGATGAGCTGTGATGAGGACACAAAGGGTAAGCAAGAGTTAGATGGACAGGATTAAAATTCTACAGGTGCATTAGAGCCACAGAAACAGAGAGGTCAGGATACATTTAGCCTCTGTAGGGGATAGGCAAAGTTGTCTAATGAATCGTTGCCTGAATTCCTTATATATACTCATATTCAGCAAACGTGGTCTATGTCTTATCTGGTCTTCCTTACAAGCCCCCATATCCCCTGAGTGATGACAAAGAGACTAAAGTTTAATCTACCATGATATAAAACATGGCTTATTCTAAGGTAATGTCCCGAATTTGGGGATGGTACTCAGTCTCTCCTATTCTTTCCTCTTCTTTTCTGAGATAATGCTTGGGTGTGTGGCAGGGTGGGAGTGAGGGACTCACTTGGCTCTAGGATGGGATAGTGAAGAAGTGTCGATGTTGCCTTTGGATTCTCTTTTGGCCTCCAGTGATGAAGCCAGTGGCTAGTGTCACCCCCTGGGTTTGATCAAGGGCAGTAGTCCTTTCTAGCTGACTTCCCTGGCCTGCCTGGTAGACCCCTCTGTTTCTGTTTCTGCCACAGCTTCCATCTTCCCACCTAACCTCTGCTCTGAGTCCCCTTCCCTGGTCATAGTGAGCCCCATGGCAGGCCTTTTGACAGCCAGCTCAGCAGCCTTTCTTGTCTCACTGTTGAGGCTGCAGGTGGGGTGCTATGGGGACATCTGGGTCCCATCTGTGTCACTGAAACTCAAGGAGACCCACCTAAGCTAAGCCCTGAAGTGTGTTTACACTTCACCGTGCTGCATTACCAAATCAGTGTTGCTGTGGCGGTAACCCAGGGGCAGCCTGTGAAACATCTCCTTGGAGCAGAGCTCCCTTGTGGTAAGAGAGAAAAACCAGAGGGCTAATGCACATGTACCCCTTTGAGCCAAATCCAACTTCCTTTTTAACTCTGTTCTTCTCTCTGTGCCTTCTTTTTTCCCATCACCCCCTAAATGCCCTGCAAAATAACTTCCTTCTTCAGTACAGCAGTGACTCTCACAGCTTAGCTGTTATAGGCCACTGGGTTCCTTTCTCTAGACTCTGAGAAAATTCCATGAACAGAGATGTTTAGGCTTAATTCTTGCTAGACTTAAAAGGGACACCACGAAATTCAGAAAATCACATCTCAAGACAACATCACTTGTTTAGATGCAAATTCAATTATTCTTTCTACCAACAATAGCAGACTTTTAACTCTTTCTTACTTCTGTTAAAAATAAAAAAATCTCATTATCCTCCAGGGCAAAGGATCTCCTGGAAAAATTTTTTAAAAAGAAAAACATAGAACAGCACATTGAAACACATGACAGATGTTTCACAAGCTTCTATCTTCAAAGGAGCCCGGCATTATTCTGCAGAAGATGAAACCAAGGCACAGAACTGTAAAGAGACTTGCTCAAGGCCACACAGTTCACAGGCCCAGCTCTTCACTTCTAGGTCTCTTGCACCTTCCATAACATCATAGTATATCTAAAGTGAAGACCACAATTGGGAGCTCAGGAAAATAGGACCAGATAGGAAGAGCAGGGCTGGAAACTAGGCAGAGAAGTTAAGAATGAATAAGGCAGGAATGGAAGGCTATGGAAGATTTATAGGGAAAGGGATGGGGGTCAGGATAGAATCAGTGTTTAAGGATAATTTCCCAGAGATCAGCTGCAGGAGGTTTCTTTTCCTTACCACACGGGGGAAGGAAGCTGCTTGTTGCAGAACATCTCAGGAGGAGTGTTTCCGGAGATCTCTCCTCCTGGGCTCCTTCTCTGTGAATCCCTTGCTGATGAGCAGCACAGGCAAACCTGCAGAGAGGGTCTGAAGCCACCCAGTCCCTTCCTTACTCAGGGTGGGGTGGAGTGGAGCTGTGGAAAGACCCTCTGTCCTGCTCAGGGACCTCAGCTGCTCCTCAGCTTTCACAGTGATAACCCATTCTCCCTGGCGCCTTGGTGCAGCAGAGGAGGCAAGCACTATATAAATGCTAAACAGATGAGGCCGTGCTTGTCCCAGGAATAAATACACCATCCACTCCTGCTGTCAGTTCCGTACCTTTCATGAACACAGACACATCTCCCAGGAAGGGGAAAATGGTGGTGTCACTTCTCTATTTATTTTTGTGATTTTATCTCAATCATAGCAGCAGAATGTTGCTGCTTGTTCTATAGCGGAATGTTCTATTTTTTGTTGGTTTTTTCTTTTTTTTTGGTGTTATTGATTTATTTTTTTTTTTCAGAAGGACTTTATGGTTTGTTATTTTAATTTCCTGAATTCACATTCAGAAAATGGGATGTTTTCTTCTGATTGCCCCTCCAAAATAACAACAATAATAACCATCATTTGTATAGTGCCCTCACAGGCATTATCTCATAAAAATTTATTAGACCTGGACTCAGATGAAATGGATTCCTGTCTTGATTTCACCGTCTACTTGCTGTGTGACCTTGAATACATGACTTGGCCTCTCTGAGTCCTAGTTGATTCATTTGTATAATGAGCATCGTGAGAGACCTGTTTTTCCTAGCACAAATGCTTGTGCGAGGAGTAAATGGGATAATTTATATGAAAACTTGAGATAGGTATTGATTTTTAGATGAGAAATTTGAGGCACAGAGAAGCTAAGTGGCTTACACCAAGTGCTGTAGCTTATAAGCAGCCCAGGCTACATATAAACACAGGTCTTCTGATAACAAGTGATCTATCCATGAACCTGCAGCTTTGAGTGATGACTGAGACTTGGAGATGGACATGGAAGCCAATATTACAAAATGGAATCACAGTTAGCATTTATTAACACTACATGTCAGCCACTCTTCAAAGAATTTTTCTGAATGAATTCATCTAGTCATAATAACCCTATAAAGCTATCTCATGTTCATTTTACAGAGATTAAGTCATTTCCCCAAGATCACAGGAGCAGTAAGTGGAGTCATCTAAATTTGCACACAGACTGACTGCAGGACCTGTGTCATTAACCACTACCTTATCCTGCTTCTCTCAGATCACTCCTGTTCCATGCTACTGCAGGTCAGAGCGGATCATTTTCCAAATCAGCTCCAGGGGAGGTTGGGACTCACCTGGCCTCTAGGAACCTTTAAAAGAAGGAAGAGACTGGGGTGCAGGAGTATTGGGTCATTTCTCTGTGGAAACTCACTTCAAGGTCTGTCCTGGGGCTTAACTCTCTAGGTCTGTGATTCTCACACTTGCCCACATCAGAATCTCTTGGAGGGCTTGTTACAAGGCAGATGACTGGGCTCCATCCCTGGAACTTCCATTCTTTCAACCTGGGGTGGGACCTGAGAGTATGCATTTCTAACAAATTCTTAGGTGACGTGGATGCTGCTACCCAGGGACGGCATTCTGGCAAACAGTACCCAAAATGACAAACCATGGGACGACATCTGGGTCCCAGGTTCTGTATAAGAAAGAACTCGATCTGGACCCTAGAAAAGCCAAAAGCCCATTCGCGGGGTCTCTGTGAAAATGTTTAGCGCTCAAAAGAGCTGGGGGTGTCCTCCCCGGGCCACAGCTCCTCCGCAAGGGCGCTCACTGGGGCTGGCCGTGAACTGCGGGCTGAGGGCAATGGGCTCTGCATTATGGATGGATGAGCTCCGAAGCCCCCGCTGCAGATAAAGTAAACACACAGCCGCTGCAGCCGCGGGAAAGCCCGGGACCCAGCCACCCAGCCACCCAGCCCTCCCAGACAGAACTTTTCCTTCAGCTGTTGTTGTTTTCCTCTGCTGCTGCCTTCTCATCGCCTTGTACTGACAATAGTCGTAAATAACCGCAGTGCTGTAGAGAAATCATTTTAACAGGAGAGAGTCAAATAAATACATTAGACCTGACAGCTTAACTACGCGGAGTCCATTTGTATGTGGTGGCCGGCAGCTTCCCGAGGCTGACGGGGAACACAGAAGCCACAAGAGGGAGCGCCGAGCTCGCTGTGAGTCAGGCCGACGGCGGGCGGCCTCCCGAGCCCACCCCAAGCCCTGGAGTGGAGGCTTCCGCCTATGCTGAAACAAAGCTTTCAGGCTCCGACTTGCGTGGAAAAATAATGCCAACTCCTGCCTCCGTTCCCCAAGCCTCCAGAGTAATGATTTGGGGTTTAACTCGGCTGGGGGTTTAGGGTTACAGCTGGGGTTGAAGTGGTAGGACCAGTCTCCTGGCCCTGTGTCCCCCCCAACGAGGAGTGGAAGAGTCACCAGTCACAGCAGAAGCACCAGATGTTCATGCGTGTGCCACCCACATGTTCCTTTTCTGGCCCTGGTTTCCAGCAATGGTAGTTTCTGCCTAGCTCAGCTGATCCGGCAGATCGTGGAGCTTCTAAGCTCGATTCTCTGATTCCCAGGAGTATTTATCTGCCTCTTTTCCTCCCTGTGGGTGAGAGCCAAGGTGTCCTGATTCTCAGGCTGCTCACTCTTTCAGGAAGTGCTGAGGCTCGGTCACCAGGAAGGGCATGATAGACTCAGGGTACCAACTTCCTCTGGGCAAGCAAGCATCCATGGAGTGGATTCACAGAGTCTCGTGGGCTGGCTGTGCTCGGCCTGAAGCCCTCTGCTTCCTCCTTGTCAGGGCTCAGCAGCCTGTGAACTAGAGGGCTTCTTTTGTGACTGAACTGCACACCAGCGAGTGGGAGAGGAGCTCTCGGTGCAGAGTTGCCTATCTTGGGTTCAAACCTGCTGGCACCCAAACATCTGGAGGTCAGGGATGGGGAGGGCAGTGGGAGAGGCAGTCTTTGCATCCTCCGAGTTCTCACAGAGCTGGGTCTTCAGAAGGGGACAGAGAAACATAACCAAATGCTCTGCTGGCTAGTTGGTGGAGGTTTGATTTGTCTTTGCCGTCTTGCTAGGTCCCAGACTTCAAACTCCTTGTCAGCATGGACTGGATCTTAGTTGCTATTAAAAACCTAGAACCTAGCCGAATACTCACTACGTGGCAGTCTTTTTGTCAGTGCTTGATTATAGGGGACACATTTTAGAAATACTTACTAGTTGTCTTTGAGTCTGTGGTCATGAGGAGAATATTTCATATTCTCTAAAGGAAGTGTAGATATGACAGGTCAGATATAAAGAAACACTTGCTGACAATAAAATTATTAGATGCTATGGTAAATTCCGAAGTAGATTGTTGTCCGTATCTTGGGGACAGATTGGATCAGACCATGTCATTGTCTCCTTGAAGCTGGTAATATTTCCCTGTGGCTTTGAATGGAGCTCATGGTGGAGTGGGCTCCTATAGAACTGTCTGCTCAGCACTATCTTTTTTTTTTTTTAATTTGAGGATTTGACCCTCTGTCTATCCATAGGCTGCAGAATAGTAGCTGCATGAAGACATCCCTCCCCCAGTGCCCAGTTTTCTTATATTGGTTGAGGACTTGGCAAAGGACCCATGCTGGTTTGAACATTGTAATGCCCCATGTCCATAGCAGATTGTTCCATAGATACCTGACATAACCTAAGTTGAGTTAAATTCTTCCCTGGGAATTTTGGCACTGAAATGGGTAAAAAGAAGTCACTTTCTCTTTGCATTCCTTGAATGTAAGACTGAAAGCCAGGGTGCGTTGGCAGCCATGTTTCTCATTTTGTGGACAAGAAAAGTAAATGAGAAAGCATTTAAACAACACACGTACATATCATGCAGAGAAAAAGACAGGCAGAGAGAGAGAGAGAGAGGAGCAGAAATTTGTGATATCTAGATGACTGGATTACTGACAATATGCAAGTCTCTGCTTCCAGTTTTTTCCTTTTTTTTTTTTGAGACGGAGTCCCGCTCTGTCGCCCGGGCTGGAGTGCAGTGGTGCTACCTCTGCTCACTACAAGCTCTGCCTCCTGGGTTCACACCATTCTCCTGCCTCAGCCTCCCAAGTAGCTGGGACTACCGGCGCCCGCCACCATGCCCAACTAATTTTTTTTTTTTTTTTTTGCATTTTTAGTAGAGACAGGGTTTCACCATGTTGGCCAGGATGGTCTCGATCTCCTGACCTTGTGATCCACCCGCCTCAGCCTCCCAAAGTGCTGGGATTACAGGCGTGAGCCACCATGCCCGGCCTGCTTCCAGTTGTTTCTGAAGCCTAACTGTATCCTTCTTCCTGAGTCCTGTGAGACATCTTAGCACTTCTATAATAGTTTTTCTTAACAATGAGAACAACTCTCCCTGTCCCAAACCTGAGCTCCAGCCTGGGTATTGTTACTTGCAATTAAAAGGACTCGGCTAACTGTAGCATATAAAGCAATTGACAGTAAGATCAACTGTTGTAAAACAGTTGTAAAACCAACTTTTACAACTCTTATTTTCAATATTCTTCAACAGAATTTATCATCGCTCAAAACAGGCTGAGCAATTTTCTGCTTTTGTACTACGTGTATGTCTTCTCTGCCCAGAATTCTACAGAATTTCTTTATCTCCTTCAGCCTTTTATAAGATGTCCCCTGTCCTCTGAAGCTGCCCCAGACACTCAGAACAGATGCATTTGTTCCCTTAGCACTTCGCTCAGTCCTTGTAGAACATGTTCTTCTGTACTGGGATGGCAGAATTGTCTTCAGCACACGATTAGGATCTTGTCAAGAGTGGGAGCCATGCCCTTGTCATCCTTGCTTCCGTAATGCCTGACACATTCTAAACACAGAGGAGAGTTTGTGCAATGAGTATGAGGCTTATGTCCAAAAGCAGGGAAAGGTCCTTGTGGCCAGTAATTCCCAAAGGGTTGGATGGTAATGTGGAGGTAGGGAGGGAGGATGTATCGCAGAAACAAAGTGAACACAGCCTAGTCAATATCTCCATCTGTTTTCCTTCTTTTTTAGCCCCATTTAACTTGCACCCCTTTGTTCAACACACACACACACACACACACACACACACACACACTTCTCGCCACTCCCCTCTCGTGGCCCTAGCCCCGACCCAGTATTTAGAAGTGGCTCACACCTCGGTGTCTTCTACGATATTACACTCAGAGTCTTCGCCAAGCTCTAGTCGCCAGAGGGAACCCTTCAAACTCAAAGGCAAAAGAGAAAATTTAAAAAAAGGTTAGGGAGAGAGAGGAAAGAGGTGAGACAGAAGTAATATCCAATTTCAACATTTTGTACTTTGCCATTTAAACTTCCAGAGGCAACAACGATACAATTTGTATGTTTTGTATCATGCCTGCTTCCTTGTGGGAGTTTCATAAATTGATGATAACACAGCACATTTCTTTTAAGTCCTTAGACATTCAGTCTTTATTGCTTTATAAAGTCTGCTTTGGGCACAGATGAAATGAAACTGGTGAGATTTTGCTCTGTCCATTCTGCAAGTTCCATCACAGAATTTGCACCTGCTATGCAACTTGCATTCTGAAATAGCAAGTCATGTTACCAGAGGTATCTGAGACTGGCACTGAGAGGCCTGGGACAGTGGGTGACCCAGGGAGACTGAACAGCATCATCTCAGTGGCCGGTTGGAGAGGAAGGGACTTGATTAAACATCAGTCTAAGGGAACAGCCATGGCTTTCTGTAGCCTCCACATGCAGTGAGGATTTTCGGAAAATTATGCAAAATTCATTTCCCTCCAGCCCTATAATAAAATATATGCAATGTGTAACTAGAGAGTTTCTAATGTGGAAGTCCTAACACTCACCTGCTCTATTTAATTATTGGAATACAATGTGGTTTTTTTCCACAGCTGAAGAGCTGCACTAATAGGAATATTACATTGATGGACAAACTCACTCTCCAAGCCAATACATTTTTTGCTTTTATGCTGATTTTATGAAATACAAACGTGTGCCATTTGTAGTTCACAACAGAAAACGATGAGCTCTGCAATGTATCACTATCTGCCTATGCAGAGTTGGCCTCTTAAATTCAGCCTGGGAGAAAAGCCTTCACAATTGTTAATAAAAGGAATCAGACCTTTTCAGAAAGAGTTATAAAACTGCGAGACAGATGAAAATAATCTCAGACAAGTGGATTTTCAATTCTCTTACCCTCAATCCCCCCAAATCCGCCCCCCCGCCACCACGCCACACACACACTCACATATACAGGATTCATTCCCTTCTTGAACGAATTAATTTATTCCAGAGTGCAAGGGTGACTTAACTCATGCTGGCTATATGCAAATGACAAGATGTAGCTGGTTCTTGTTTGTGAAAAAAGAACAAACCAGACCTCTATGATGTGGCATTACTAGACCAAATGAGGAGATGCTGTACCCGTCGTGCCCAGCCCAAAAGCTTTGGCCTTTCAGCTGCTGACCTCCCCATGGTGGTCCCAGAGACACTGAGCTGAAGTGATGCCTATCACTAGTTGAGTACCTTAAAATACTGCCATTGGTTCCAAGACCTTCTGTAGCAACTGTTTCCATATAAAGTGGATGCAAATGGATCAGCAGGACATTGTGTATGCATTGTTCATCAGTATAATGAAGTTGCATTATGGCTGGGCTTGGTGTGTATGTACATTCACTTGTCAAATAAGATCCTGCATGCAAAAGAGCTTTACCAACCCTACAGTGCTTTGTAAACTATAAAATGCCATAGACACAAGGATTTGCTATTATCAGAGTTGTGATTATGAATCCCTGAATGGCAGACATTACAGCAGGCAGTCCTGGGGTGCTCTCAGATGGAGCAAGTTGGGCTTGCAATCAGAAATGAGCTTGAGATTTACTGACTTTATTATAGGGAATAAATACTTGGAGACAGAGGGGGACCGTTTATGACTGTCGTTAATATCTTCCTTGGAAAATGCACATCGTGTTGCCTGCCACCTAGTGGCAGGAGAATAAATTTGCAATTCCCTTAAGTCCCTGAGAAAGGACTTACAGATCACTTACAGATCATTTCTGAGAAGGGCTGGCATTAGGAATGAGGAGCTGTGGGTGGAAGCCCACGGTGCAGTGAGTGAGTGAGACTGACTGTCATTGCTGCTTCTGCCAGCCCAGGGGCCTGACTTCAGGCCCCACCACAATTTTTTTTTTTTTTTTGGAGATGAAGTCTTGCTCTGTCGCCCAGGCTGGAGTGCAGTGATGTGATCTCGGCTCACTGCAACCTCCATCTCCAGGGTTCAAGTGATTCTCCTGCCTCAGCCTCCTGAGTAGCTGGGATTATAGGTGCGTGCCACCACGCCCAGCTAATTTTTGTATTTTTAGTAGAGACGAGGTTTCACCATGTTGGTCAGGCTGGTCTCGAACTCCTGACCTCGTGATCTGCCCACCTCGGCCTCCCAAAGTGCTGGGATTACATGCTTGAGCCACCGCGCCCGGCCAGGCCCCACCACAGTTTTAACCGGCATCTCCACTGTGTACATCTTGAGAGCCCTGTGGGCCGTTTAGACATTAAGTAAGAATAACAACAGAAATGATCTGGATGATGATTATAATATTAAGAAACATAAACAGTTATAGTCATAATACCAGATTGCTTCCCTGTTCCTTTTTGGGCTCTGATGAGTAAACAGACAAAGGACTGAAGAGGGAGAAGGAGGATGCCCAGGAGGTTGCAAACAGAATATAAAATCCTCCCCTCCCTTAACCCCTCACTCCGGGAGGTTGTGCTGAATGATAATCATACCTTTGGGGCACCTATAGCTTTTGAAGACAGGGGACCCACCTTCAGTGGTCTCAGTCCATCTTGACAAATATTTCACTTTAGGATGTCCTGTACTGCCAGTCTGGCACTGCCTTCTCTCCTGTATGGTAGACTCAGCACCTGCAGCATATCTGAGCTTCCCAGGAAGAGTTGGACAACCACTAATAAGAAATAAATATTTGGTCTTTCTCTCCTGTTCCTGGCAGAGAGCTTCTAAAACTCCTCAGTGATAAGGATAATAGGCACATCTTTTGTAATTCATAACAAGCCTCTTTCAACTATTCCTGAGTTTATGCTAATGAAATGACTATAGGTGGGCACCTAGATAGCTTCAGGATGGGGTGGATTTCCAGAGGAACCAACCATGTGATTAGAGATTTGGTTTTCAGCCCCATCCCTCAACCTCTAGGAGTGGAGGGGGGGATGGAGATTGAGCTCAATCACCAATAGCCAATAATTTAATCAATCATACCTACTTCATGGAACATCTGTGAAAGACCTAAATAATAATACTCTGAGAGCTTTCGAGTTGGTGAATACATCCACATACTGGGAGGGTGATGTGCCCCAACTCCTTGGGGGCAGAGAAACTCCTGTGCTCGGGACCCTCTGGACTTCACCCTATGTATCTCTTTATTTGGCTTTTCATTTGTATCCTTTATTCCTTTATAATAAACCAGTCAACGTAAGTAAATATTTCCCTCACTTTGTGAGCCATTCCAGCAAATTATCAAACTCTGCGTAGTTACTGTCTGACTTGAGTTGGGATGAAGGGCAACCAGTTGATGTCCAGATGCTTAGAGAATTGGATAGTGTCAGGAAAAAAAAAAAAAAAAAACACACAAATTTAGTGTCAGAAGCGTTGTAAGTAACAGCAGTTTACCATTGAAAGGCGACAACAACAACTGCAGATCTAGCATTTATTTAAATTTTTAAAAATCTTTTTAACTTAGTAATTTAAGGACAGTCAGCCCTCCATAGCCACAAGTTCTGCATCTGTGGATTCAACCAAACTTGGATCAAAAATATTTGTTTTAAACCCAATAAAATGATAATACTACAATTAAAAATAATACAAATTTAAAAATACAGTGTAACAGCTATTTACATAGCATTTATATTGCGTTATTATAAGTAACCTAGAAGTGATTTAAAGAATATGGGAGGTTGTGTGCAGATGCACCATTTTATTTGTTAGTTTATTTAAAGACAGGGTCTCACTCTGTTGCCCAGGCTGGAGTGCAGTGGTGTGATCATAGCTCACTGCAGCCTCAAACTCCTGGGCTTAAGCAATCCTCCCACCTCAGCCTTCTGAGTACCTAGGACCACAGGTGTGTGCCACCACACCTGGCTAATTTTTAATTTTTTGGTTGAGACTGGAGTCTTGCTATGTTGCCCAGGCTAGTCTCGAACTCCTGGAATCAAGTGATTCCTCCTGCCTCCACCTCCCAGAGTGCTAAGATTACAGGCATGAGCTACTGCACCTGTCTTACTGTGCTATTTTATTCCAGGGACTTGAGTGCTCAATCAGAATGTTGAAGTCACTGATAAGAGCTAGCATTTATTGAATACTTTCTATGTACTGGGCCCTCTACATCCTATCTCAGGTAACTTTCATAATGGTCATATGAGGTGAGGGCAGTTACTACTCCCATTTTACAGATGGAGAAATGGAGGATTCAAGAACTTTACAAGTTTGGTGAAGGTCACATAGCAAGTGATGGAAACAAAATCCAAATACAACTTGCACACACCTCACTCTTTGCACCTTATGGACTTCGTTTTGCTTGTACGCAATACCAAATATCGGAATCTTGGTGTAGAAAAGAACTTTTAAACTAGCCTAATTCAATTGCTCATCTCCAGACAGAAATTTTCTATGGCAGTGGTTCCCAGACTCTGGCCCTTTCTAACTGGTTGCATTAAAATCATTAAAAAACAAACAAAATCAAGCCAAACCAAACCAAACCAACTAACCAATCAAACAATAGCAGCAGCAGCAACAACAACAACAAAAAAGCAAGTTTGTGAGACACCTTCCCCTTCCCCTCCTGCCCTGACATTCTGATTCAGTGACTTTCCACTCAGGCCCGCAGATTCATACTAAAAAGCTTCCCCAGTGATTCCCAAGCCCAGCCAGGTGGGGAGCCTGTGCCCCGCAGCGCCTCTATAGCACTACAGAGGGGGTGGAGTAATACAGGGCTGGGGCAAGCAAGAGAGGGAGGAGTTGGGCTTGAATGATCTAGCAGCACGAAGGAGGAAAGATAAAAGAGAGCACAAGGTTAGGTTGTACAAGAGGCTGGCTTCAGAGACTGTCAGGTCCTTTTTTTTTTTTTTTAAAGGGAGTGTGAAACAGTAACATTCTTTTTTTGTTTGTTTGTTTTTTAAAATGAAACATCAAGCAGAGATACACAGCAACAGCAACGAGGGCCTTGCTTCTCTCCCACATACTGCCTAAGCAAATAAGGCTCATTGTTTAGGCCAAAGTTTAGTAAAGACTTAACTGATCTGATTTTTGTGCGTCCATTTTTAATTGATGGTGGAGAGCAGTGCAGCGGCAACGGTTTGCTGTAGTGCCCTTTACTCGCTTGCTAATCTCATGGGCACAGTGAACTACCGCTGCTTCTCGGAGGCTAGGTGGAGTAATAAAGCAATACAGGCAGCCTCGGGAAATGCCCGTGTGGGGTAGGGCTCTCTGAGATGCGAACGGGAAATCACATGCTTATTATCCTAGAAATGGGCTACCAGGGATGGGATGTCTTACAGCTGAGGGATCACTAATACAGTGTTGAAGAGGGAAAGCTTTGCCTTTGCTTTATTAATTAATGTGCATGAGCAAGAGGGAATTACAGGATAATGATTCCCCAATAACCCGATGAGGTCCAGATACTTATGTACACTTCTTCATAGGGGAAGGGGAGATGGAGGTTGTAAAAGTAAATCATTTTCATGGGAAAGGAATGACCCAAAGAACAAAGGCCTGGGACAGAGTTCCTCTGTGCTGTGGGGGAGATGGCAGGAAGGTGAGGGGTGGAACTTCACTGTGAACAAAAGTTTTGTTGTTATGCAGATAAAGCCTCACAAGTAATCTCTTAGAACTGTCCTCAGAAGAACAGATGAAAAATCTGCCTGGGCATGGCAATGACTCCTAGCGTCTTCTCTTCTCTAGAGATTAATATTTCCTGGTTATTTGATGAGATTCCTAGGAAGGGGGTCTTAAGACAATTGCATTTCTCCAGAGAAAATCTGTCCTGGTGCTTCAGGAAAGAAAGAGGATCAGAGACACAGGAGAGCAGGAAAGGATCAGAGAGAGATCTTGGTTCTAAGGATTATTTCTGAGGCCTTTCCATTGTTTAAAATTCAAAGCACTTGGCATGCCAGAGCACTGTATTTTGGGGCATCATTTTCTTGCCCTAATGCTAACTGCCATGATATGCAGTCCTCATGTCATACCTCTCTGTGGTTGGTAAATGATGCTGGCTCCCTGCTTGGCCTCTAGAAAGAGGTGAACTTTTGATTATTTGAGGACTTCAGTGTCTGTATGTAGCTAGTGTCTTTGCTTCCCATTAAAGTGAAAACATTTATCTGTCCAAATGAAGTCACCCTAGACTATTCTAAAACAAATGTCGTTTAGCTATTTTGTGTCTGATGTTTGTCTTCCTGTGAATTCTCTCTTATCTGAGGACTTTGTGGACTTCTTAAAAATCAATATAAGAGGCTGAAAGTTAGCACGTTACCCATAAGAGCTACATTAATAAGAGAAAGAGAGAGAAAGAAGTAGATGGAAAACAGTCCATCAGTTAGTGAAAATCTATGTGCCTTGCCCTGTGTTAGGTACTATTAGAATACAAAAAATAAAGACAGGCTTAACTTTCATGAAACTTACAGGTATTTCAGGATGCAATTCAGCAAAGAGGCTAAAAACATCAAGTGTAACCCAAAGAATCTGGGTCTAAATCTTGGCTCTGCCACTTAATGCATGACTAGTTACTTATACGCTCAGAACTTCATTTATCTTATCTACACACTAAAGATAAGAGAGACATCTTATTCATGAGAGTAAGGTGAACTTATATTGGATTTATTAGTACACCCAACATGACAACTCAAGTAAAAAATAGAGCAAAATGGTTATGTATGGACTCTTAATTTAATGTATGAAAATGAAAATTTGTGCATATAATAAATTATGACAAAAAGTAAAAAGTAACAATAATCTGATAGACGATTCTTAGTTCACATCACAAAAGCTTGTTTCCCAAGTATGTAAAGCATTCTTACAACTTAATAATAAAGTCATAATTTAAGTCATAATTTATATGAAGAGAGAATTCACATACACACATAAAAGAAATATAAATGACTCCCTTGAACATAGAAAAAGATACCCAGTTATATTCATAATAAGATATATCTAAGTGAAAACTAAATTGATGTTTGTTTTAAATGTTTGTTCAAAAGTTTGAAGACTATATGAGTAAGAATATGGTAAACAACTCTATCATACAGTGATGGTAAGTGATTTGGCAAAAATATATCAAAATTATAAACATATGTCTTTGACTCTGCAATTCTAGGAATTTATTCTACAGCTGTAGTCACAGAAATGATACATCTATATGGCAACATTGTCCATAATCAAAAGATTGTTAACGATCTAAATTTCCTCTAGTGGATGACTTTTAAATAAACTGTAGTACATCTGGAAAGTGTAATATAATATATTCATAAGTATTTTCTAAGATCTTATTAAGGATCTTAGAACTTTTTCTCTAAGATATCTTAAGTAGAAAAAATTAAGGGGTGTGTGTGTGTGTGTGTGTGTGTGTGTGTGTGTGTGTGTGTATTGTAAGGGCAGAAAAAGGGTGAAAACTCAAAGAAAGACCAGATAGTTGATGCTTAAATATCATCTTCACTGGGGAGATGTAAAGGGGGAAGCCGTAAATGAATGGGCCCAAAGATCAGGCAATGGTTTGTCAACGATTGAAGGACAAACAATAGTTTGTGGACAAGTTACAGGAAGGTGAAAGACAGAACAAATGTTGTCTTATTATGCAGATACAATCTCCCAGGTAATCTCTCAGAGCTTCTCTCAGAAGAATAGATGGAAAAGTCTACTTGTGCATAATGACAACTCCCAGTCTCCTCTCTTAATCTTTCCTGTTTCTTTGAGGAAATTCATAGAGAGAGGGTTTTAAGATAATTGTATTTCTTTTGGAAAGAAGTTTTCTTATTCAGATAAGAAAATTCCAAAGAAAGTCTCTTCTGGTGCCTCAGAAAAGAAGAGGATCAGAGAGAGGAGTCAGGGGGTCAGAAATAGAGTTTGTGGCTGCTGCTTTAAGCCAGCATGTCAAAGCAACATATTTTAGGGCATTGTTTTCTGAGCCCCAACAATACTATATATACACATATGTATATAGCATGTATATGTTTTGCCATATGTTATATTTTGTGTGAAAATAGAAAAAAATTGCTTGTTTTTGCATAGAATATCTGAAATGTACGTAAGAAACTGGTAACATTGGTTGTCTTCAAGGAGAGTTGTGGGATGGTTAGCAGAAAGGGTTGGGAAAAAAAATTCATTGTATACTTTTGGATTTTGTGAGGGTAAAGTTTCTAAAGTCAAATGACACAATGGTCAATGTATATTGTATTTTCCTTTTGGAAAGATTTTTATGAGTGTTGTAGCATATGTACTCATTAATTTGGGGATAAATATGTATGGAGTGCTACTCTGTGCCAGACATTATTTTGTGATAGCTTATGCATGTATGGCACTTTTGTTACAGACCAGAAGAAACCAGAGGGTTCTTATGGCCTGTTGCACAGAAGAAGCCAATACACTGAGACAGCAGGTGTTGCAGTAGGGAAAGAGTTTAATATTTGTGGGGCACAGAGTGAGGAAGATGAGAAATATTTCTCAAATCCACCTTCCTGAGAACTCAGAGGCTAGGTTTTTAAGTATAATTTGGTAAGCAGGGGGCTAGGGAATGGGTGCTGCTGATTGGCTGGGTATGAACTCATAGGAATGTCAAAACTGTCTTCATGTGCTGAATCAGTTTCTGGGTGGGAGGTTACAGGACCAATTAAGTCAGTTCCTTGGTATGAGTGGGTACAGGTGGTGTCAGTTGGACCACTAGAATGCAAAAGTCTAAAAAGTATCTGAAAGATCAGTGTTGGGTTTTACAATAGTGATGTTATCTATAGGAGCAATTGGGGAAGTTACAAATCTTGTGACCTCCAGCAACATGACTCCTGAGCAGTAAGCAATTATCAAAAAGCAAGCTAGGGAACAATGGCTGGTTATTGTTTAATTATGCCTATGTCTTAGCAGAATTCAGACCCCTGTTATAATCCTAATTTTGTGGCCTTTCACAAAGTCTTACAAAGGCAGGTTCAGTCCCTTGAGGGACTCAGTTTTGCGAAGTGCCTATTATTCTTATTTCAGCATTAAGCTATAGGTCAAGTGTGGTGGCTCACATCTATAATCCCAGCACTTTTGGAGGCTGAGATGGGAGGATAACTTGAGGTCAGGAGTTCAAGACCAGCCAGAGCAACATAGTGAGACCCTGTCTCTACAAAAAATTTAAAAATTAGCTGGAAGTGGAAGCACATGCCTGTAGTTCCAGCTACTCAAGAGGCTGAGGAAGGAGAATGGCGTGAATCAGGGAGGCAGAGCTTGCAGTGAGCCGAGATCCCGCCACTGCACTCCAGCCTGGGTGACAGAGCTCAAAAAAATAAAAAAGTAAATGAGGAACAGATAAGCAAGAAAATAGTAACAACAATCTCCCAAGCAAGCCAGAGTCATAAGTTGTTTTGGCTCCTTATAGAAACTAAAAGACAACATCTTAGCATATGTTCTTGAGTTGTTTTACAGAAACTCCCATCAGCTGGAAAATGCCCACTGCTATCACATAGACCTTAGATAAGGGGGAATGGAAAACTAAATTCTGACTGTGGTTCTTATTTTAAATTTCTTCCTGAAGGGCCTGGAGAGAGTCATACCTATGGGCCAAACCAATATATAGCCTCCATGAGTTGGTTTACAATTTTGACGGCAACTTCTGCTCTCCTGAAACCGTTGCTTGTAAGCTGTTAGGTAGTTCAGGTCTCAAGCGTTAACTGCTCATTCTTCTTGCTTAATGCCATGCAATAAATCTCCTTTTCTCCACTGCAAATCTCAAGCATCTGTGTCTGGGTTTACTGCACCAGACAACTGGATCCTAGTTCCGTTCAGTAATATGATACAGCATGCCAGGGAGCCTGAGACATTCTGCAGTAAAGATACCTGTTTCACTTTATTTAACCCAGGGTTTTCCTAATTTATTGACTATATAATCTTTTAACTGAATTTAATTTAGTATTTAAAAAATTTTTTTGCTGGGCGCAGTGGCTAATGCCTGTAATCCCAACACTTTGGGAGGCTGAGGCGGGCAGATCACGAGGTCAGGAGTTCAAGACCAGCTTGGCCAACATGGTGAAAGCCAATCTCTCCTAAAAATACAAAAATCACGGGCCGGGCGCGGTGGCTCACGCCTGTAATCCCAGCACTTTGGGAGGCCGAGGCGGGCGGATCACGAGGTCAGGAGATTGAGACCATCCCGGCTAAAAAAAACGGTGAAACCCCGTCTCTACTAAAAATACAAAAAATTAGCCGGGCGTAGTGGCGGGCGCCTGTAGTCCCAGCTACTTGGGAGGCTGAGGCAGGAGAATGGCGTGAACCCGGGAGGCGGAGCTTGCAGTGAGCCGAGATCCCGCCACTGCACTCCAGCCTGGGCGACAGAGCGAGACTCCGTCTCAAAAAAAAAAAATAAATAAATAAAAATAAAAAAAAATAAATAAAAATAAAAATACAAAAATCAGCTGGGCGTGGTGGCAGGCACCTGTAGTCCCAGCTACTCAGGAGGCAGAAGCAGAAGAATCGCTTGAACCCAGGAGGCAGAGGTTGCAGTGAGCTGACATTGCACCACTGCACTCTAGCCTGGGCAACAGAGCTAGACCCCGTCTCAAAAAAAAAAAAAAAATTCACCTTATACCCCCACCATCCTATGGAACTAGAGTTGTAACAAACTCACTGGGAAACTCTGATCTAAATGAATCCCCTTATACTAAAGATGAGGAAGCTGAGGCCCAGAGAGGGCATGGGGCTTGGTCAATGTCATAGATGACCAGCTGGTGGGTGCCAAGATCAGATCTCATATCCCTTAGTTCCCCTCCACCATTCTCTCTAATATGCCAGTAGTAACGAAGGCATTTGCTAACTTATTTTATATTCATTCACATATTTCTGCCGTTAGAGAGACTTCATCAAGAACCAGGTAGTGTTTGGTTGTGCTTTATAGGAGATAAGGATTTTATTTTGTATTGTCCAATTATTTGCAGATTTTTTTTTATCCTTTAGTAAGACTTTTCCTTTTAAAGCTTTTTCTCCTCCTCCTTCTTCTTCTTTTTCTTATTTTCAATTCACATAGACCTTAGATAAGGGGGAATTGAAAACTAAATTCTGACTGTGGTTCTTGTTTTAAATTTCTTCCTGAAGGGCCTGGAGAGAGTCATACCTCTCTCCAGTCATACATGTACCACTGTTTTCTGAAATGCAAGTCAATGTTATACTTGATACCATCTTAAGAACTAAAGGATTCACTTCCAAAATAATAGGTTCCATTAAACAACAAATGTATCTATTAAGGAAAGAGTACAATATTTGCATCTAAAACTAGTGCTTTGTCTTATTTTGTGTGTATGTGTTGGGGTGGAGAGCAGAAATACAGGCAAGTGTTTATAGAATGTTAAATTCATTCACTGTTAAAAGGATACACATAGACACTGTGCCTAGGGCTCTTTAGGTTGTAGAGATAGTGACATTTTAAAAGCATTTGTCTTAAATTTTGCCTTAGAGTAAAATCTCTTCACAGCCCTTTGTTTCTCATCAAAAAGGTGAACTTTAGGCTTTTCTTACTGCATTTATATCAACTTTTTGACTGAAACGATGATTTTCTCGACTGTATTTCATGATTTTTCATGTTTGTATTGACCAACTCAAGCAACTGTTTTGGATTCACCTGAACACAGGGTCAAAATGCTGATGCAGCTGAAGAACTGTAGAAATTAATTCTGAAGATGGTGGCGAAAAGAATAAGAGTCTAAGCTGGAATTCGTGCTTGGTGGGCTAAAACTGATCAATTTCCTGGTCCCTAATTAAAACAAGCCACCAAACACAACAGCAGCAGAAAATCCAGGGCTTTTTCTGGTGATGAATGCAACCAGCCTGCAAATTTCTCCTTGCTGGGAACAGAGATTTCATGTGCACAGCAGTTAAACAGAAAGCGTACTGGCAATTTATGTTTGGTAATATGTATCTACTCACCGCTCAGACCCTGCCCCTACCTACCTTCATCCCAAGCCTAGGCCCCCAATGAAATTAAACCAATGAAACTAGAGAGGAAGTTTTCTTCTTTTACATGTGCATCTTTGAAGGAGCTCCTTCCTGCCTATTGAAAGGGTAAACAAATATGGCAGGATATCTAATCTTTTATATTACTCGAGTTGTGAAAATCTGTATGTGAACCATCTGCTTTTAAATTGAATCCTAGCATTCCATCAATTAGCACTATAATTTCAGACGTAATGTAGGTTAACTCCTGATTGATCTTCAATTAACACTAGTTCTTAACCATTTGCTTTATTTTAAATTCATTTTTCCCCTCCCAGATAGACAGGGAAGTTGCAGAATGACTTTCTTGCTTTTGAAATGCTGATAGCTCTTTAGGATGAAAGAATTCACATTCTTCCCCCCCTCCCTTTATACTTGAGTTAGTGAAAACTCAGGTAATGTAAAATCAGTATAATTTTGTATTCCAAAAGAACATCAAGGAAATTGCTAGGAAGACCTCATCATATGCATTTGTGCTTTTCTTAATTAGAATTTAGAATTGGGAGTTTTTTACAAAATAAGTAAAAAATTGCTACAAGAATTCCAAATATGGCCTCACATTAAGCCTCATAAAACTTATGGAATTTGGAGATTATTTGGCTCCTTTGCTAAGGCATAAACACTCAGGGTTAAAAGAGGTCTCAGACTTCCATCCCATACCTGCCCAAGGCAGGCATGCCCACCAGAGCATCCCTGCCAGATGGTCAGGGTACTTTTCTTCCTTGCCATCATTGGACAAAAGAACAGAGCCTACCTCGATGAGGTTCTGACAATGAAATTCTGGCAGCTGAGTAATGCTCACCGTTTGACATAATGCAGATACTTCCTTTGAAGTCTAGAGTGATATATAATATTGATAATTTCTATATGGTATATAATAGTACATAATTGTGATAAATTATTCTGCTCTCCTTTTATAATTTTGATTTATAAAATATTTATTATATCTTTAAACATGTAATTTTACCACATAAAAGGCTGTTTTTTCTTCAGAAAAAATATAACTGGTTTTATAATGGTTTTCATTACTGAAATAGATTCACTTAACAATCATTTCTTGTATGGTCAGTTTACTGGAAGCTTTTTATATCATTGAGCAAGGGATAGTTTTTTAATGAAAAATATACAACTTTTCCTCCTTATTATCTTCTTTTTAAAAATTATTATATGCATCACTGCTTTTTTATTAGCATGCTGTTTTGAAAGTAGAATCACAGGGTCAATGTACTAGTTAGGCCAAGTAATGCTTTCTGATATAATGAACAGACTCAAAATCTTAGTGGCTTAATACCATAAAAGTTTATTTCTCGCTCATGTCACAGACCAAAGTCCATGTTTTTCCCTGGATGGTGTCCCATATTATAGCCCACTGTCCTCCAGGAACTTGAAATCTTTTTCATTCAGCTAGCATATGAGGAAAAAAAAAAGGAGGATGAAGTGTGGGAGTTTTTAAGAGCCTAAACAAATTCATTGTTTCTTTATATATGGCTTTTTACACATGGATTAGAATTCAATTACTGGTCATAGCTAACTGCAAGGCTGGCTGGGATGTACAGTCTAGACATAGGCTTAGGGGGAAAAAACAGGGCTGTGAGCCTCAACATGGCTCTGCCATAGTTGTTGTTAGTGTCTGTTTAGCCTCTGCACCCTGGAGACCTATCTGTCCAGAATAGTTTCTAGAATTGCTATTGTATGTGTGCTGTTGAACTTCACTGGAAAATGAATGAAGAGGAATGCAAGAATTTTAAGTGACCCGAATTCCTGGGTATACACACGGATACACAGGATACCCAGGGCTCCCCTCTGCCATGACCCCTGAGGGCGCTCTCTATGAACCAAGGAGTCCAGAAAGGAAAATCGCTGGAGGTTAGGCTTTGAATAACTCTAAGCCTTGTTCCCTTTCCCACAAAGAACTGCACAAGACCGTTGATGACACTAGAGGGCGCAGCAGGCGCCGTGCAGGAGACCACCCCCTACAAGAGTGGTGACAGCAGCAGTTAGCAGTGTTGTGAGTGGCGCCAAAGACCGTAGGTTCCTGGCAAGCTTGCCATTCCTGGCGAGACCAGCCTCCCTGAAAAGAGGGATTAAAAGCCTTCTTAAAAGAAGACTTGAAGACCCATAAACTTGGGCTGGCGTCCTTACTCAACCTCACCCATATAGAGTGAAAAATGTGGCCAAAGAAATTGGGCCTCACAGTAAGGGGTTGCCTTAATTGAGTAGATTTCTAATAGCATTTTACGGGCAGAATCTATTTCGGCTTCTTGGCTACCTTGCTAAACTATGGAGACACATTCTTTCCTGTTTGTTAGTTTTCCATCCCAGCATACATAAGAGGCTGTACATATTTGAATACCAGCTGATACTCTCTGAAATTAATTAGATGTGATTCATAGGCTAGTTTTCCTCTCCTCAAGTCAACTTTCTCACCCGTGGACTTACTACCTATTTTGTCCTACCATTTGGTGGGTAGATGTATTACGATGTCCTATCTTCTGGGCTAAAGACGGGGTGGTGCTTATTTTTGTTTATTTTTTATTTGCAACTTTATTTTTTTATTGTGGCAAGATAGACATATCTGTCATTGTAACCACTTGTAAGTGTACAGTTCACTGGCATTAAATACATGCTGTGTAACCATCAGTACTCTCTATGCAGATGAGTGATTCTTGCACAATTCTTAAAACATGGAGCTAGCAAGTTAGTTACAGTGAAGTCATTTCCATGTTTACTATGGAGCTGTGCACCAGTTGCCAGTTATGGTAAATGTCACCGTGACCTGTGCTATGGAGACCCTATGGAAAACCTGCTTCCCCAGGACCAGAGAATCTTAGCATCTGGTCTCTACTATTCCACTACCCCGCTGAGCAATTTCAACCATTAGCAAACCGAGTGAGAATAATATACTCACTTTTGATTACTGATATATAACCTGTGGATGATCTTATATTTTAATTTCTTGGATAAATTCTAGTTATTATCAAGAATATTCTAGGCTATGAAAACTTTACCCAACTTTCCCTGCAACCCAATCAGCATTCTCTCATTGGGGCTATAAATGAGTGAAATAGACCCAGAAGGAAAACGTTCTGCCAAATAAGATATAATACTGCATTCCTTCACTTACTTGGATGTGTATTGATAAGGGTTTCTCAGGGAAGTTCCTTTCTGGTGAAACTTGGGCCTTGAAATTACTTTTTCCAATTTCCAAATTCTACTCTAAGTTAAAGCTTGTGGATTTTAACTTATAACAACAGCAACGACAATAACACTAGACAGCATTTAATGAGTTTTTACTGTATGCCAAGCACTATTCTAATCTCATTTAATCATCATAGTAACATTAAGAAGCAGATGCTATTATCTATCTATCTATCTATCTATCTATCTATCTATCATCTATCATCTATCTATCTATCTATATTTTTGAGACAGAGTCTTGCTCTGCCATCCAGGCTGGAATGCAGTGGCGCGATCTTGACTCACTGCAACCTCCACCTCCCAGGTTCAAGTGATTCTCATGCCTCAGCCTTCCAAGTAGCAGGGATTACAGGCAGCTGCCACCATGCCTGGCTAATTTTTTTAAGTAGAGATGGGTTTCACCATGTTGGCTAGGCTGGTCTCAAACTCCTGACCTCAAGTGAGCCGCCCATCTCAGCTTCCCAAAGTGCTGGGATTACAGGCATGAGCTGCCACACCTGGCCTCTTTTCAGTATTTTTAAGTGAAAAAACCAAGGCACAAAGTGATTCATTCAACTGTAAGAAAGAGTTGTATTTGAATTTAGGTGCAAATGTTATATTAGATTTGGAAAGATGTGACTGGTTTTAGGGATGTAATTTGAAAGAAGCAGTGCATTCTTGGCATGAGGTCCAGCACTTGAATATCTAGCCACACCTCCTAAGGGCCATGCTTACTTCCAAGTGGCCGCTTCTCTCTGGGGGATCCTAGCACACTTGTCCATGCTAAAACCAGCAACAGGATTGATGACCTTTCTGACCAAAATGGGACTCGGTACTTTTTCATAAAACACATGCTGCTAGGACAATGTCTGTTCATCTGTATTCTTGCATGGTCCTCACACTGTTTGGCACTGTGAGAGCTATCACTCTGGACCAGGGATGCTGCCCTTTCCTCCCTTTGGGTGCTGGCAGATTAGGGGTGGCATGGAGGCTTACTCTTGTTTTACTGATGTCTAGTGAATCTATGTAAGCCTCCTGTGAAATGGCTTATTTGGTTAAAGGAAAATCTCTGCCCATAATTCTTCCCTTAATGTTTAGGTAAGAGCCTTTAACAGGACCAAAGCAACAATAAGCCAAACTCAATGAAACGTAGCCAAGAATAAGGAAGCAAGTACAAGAGACCCTCAATATGAAAAGAGATGTTACTAACTGAATTCAACAGTTAGGAAGAAGAGATTAACTGGGCAAAACACCAAGCCCTACAGAGAAGGCCTTGGAGTCTCAGGAATGTGTATGGCACATTTTCCTTGGCATGGTCAGTTGAGCGTTGGCTCTGCTTGCTTCTGTAGGATGACAAGATGAAGGGAGGCAAGAAGAGAGATATGGCTACTCTATTAAAACCATGTTGGCTTTACTGTTCATGTAGCAAAACCAGTCTCTTTAACACTGTTTAACATAGTCTAATTGTCCTTCAGATCCTCTGCTTTAGAGGTCAATATTAGAGAAACCTGTAGTACTTGCTCTTCCTCCAACAAATGACTCAATTATGAGAACTAAAAATAAAATTTTAAGCCTCCAAGCCAACTGAATGGACCCCCCACTTGGCCAAGGGGACCTTGGAGAAACCTTGGAAGCTGAGTTCCTGGCCATGACAAGATGGGGGATCTGACATGCCTTGTCATACCTCCTCCCTCGCTAACTGCCATTAGGCTTTCTTCCCAAAGGGTTCAACAGAAACCAGCTCTTTCGAAAGACTCCACCCCTGATATCCACCAGCCACCTGACACTGCCCCTGTCTTTTGTGGTTTCAGCACAACTAACCAGCACTCCTTCCTGATAAGAGACTACTGACCATGGAGTGGTTTTGGCAAGTCTGTGGAGGATGTGCAGTGAGGGTTTTCATGTCCTCTGCTTCACCTTTTGATATTAGAGGCCCAAAAATTCCACCGTTGGATCTTGCTTGCCACCATTTTTTTGAACATGGGACCCATGAAGGAGCATGAAGTTCGTGCATATTTCTCCTTTCATAAATATTCATGACTTCTCCTATAACATATAATATCAAGCAGAATGGCTTTATATATATTTATATAAATTGCTTTATATATACTTATAGATATATAATATATATTTATATACATATAATATATATATACATGCACATATCTCTAAATAAAATATATAAAACCACTCTGCTTTATATATTATAAATTTCTATTCCATTTATCCTTCCCTCAAAGTGTCTGTTTCTGGCTTCTGTCCAAAGGCTATGCTTTCCAGCCTATCACATTGGCCACCCTGCAGACTAACCATTTATGAGAAATGAAGCTCTCCTTCCTAAATTTACGAACCCATCATTCTTCAATTGACAGTTATAAGACTAAATCTGTTTCTCTTTTGTCACCCATGATGGAGACCTCCACCTTCCCCTTTTTTTGTCTGGTCAATACCTTTTTTCCGCTTACAGGTGAGTATCTGTATGTTCAGTTCTCAGTTTGACTTGAAACACTTTCCCCAATTCCTTTTTTCCCAAGAGTCAGCCAAAAGTTGAGTAAGAAACGAATTCACTGGAGATTAGTCTTGCAATTTGCAGGGAGTTGGGTTAAGAAATCCAGATTTAAATATTTCCTAATGAGTGGCTTTAAAGTAAATAATTACCTCTGACAGGGTGTCTGTTACCCAGAGGACATCACGAGCGAATCAGATGGGGTTGCTCTTGGGTGCCTTGGGAAGAATTTGGCCTTTCCAACGAAAGTGCCTGCCTTTGATCTCTAATATATAGGAATGCGAGATAGAGAAGGCTGAGGGGTAATTCATCTCCCACTGTGCCTATCACAGTGCCTTAACCATACTGGACACTTAATTTATGAATTTTTGAGTGAGCTGATGAAAGCTAGCCTGCAGGTGTGGGAGTAGAAGAAAAAGAAAATTACCTAGGAGGGGTGGAATACAGAAAGGGTGGTTTTTCTATTTTAAGACACTGAAATGCTTGAGAGGGGCCTGGGTTAGTGCATTTTGATTTCTGGGGAGATGAAACACCATGTGTTGGACAAGAGAGGAGGGACCCCAGGAAAGCACAGTTAACCTCTGAGTCTGTAAAGGATGTTGCAAGAATGTGTGGGGGTAAGAAGTGCAGAATTTGTGTCTTCCTCAAATCCCATTAGTGGAGAATGAGAGCATTTTCACAGCCATATTTTTTAAAAAGTGAATGGCAAGAAACAGGATTTTTCTTTCCCTCTCCCAAGGGGGCTGAGTGAGGGGCCCTAAACCAGCACATCCAGAATAATGGTGCAAGAGCAATTATGAGACCTTTCACTAAGGACTGATTTGTCTGCAGAAAGGGGGAAATCATCAGGTATCCATTGTGAGAAGACTCGCCTCTTCTTAACAATGGCTCTGATGAAACTGCTAGAAGGTTCTTATCAGAAAAAAAAGCCTCCCAGCAGCAGGAGAAGGGAAGAGGGACGAGAAATAATAGGCTACAAAACCCCAAATCATCCTCAAGGCTCACCGCAGGGGAGGCAGTGAGGGGGGAGACATGCTTCCTGAATGCCAAGTGATGTTGGCTGGTCAGTCAAAATGAGCCTCTAAAGAGACATATTAAAAGAGAGGAGAGAGAGAGGGCCAGCTCTCCTCAGGCAGCTTTTAGCAGCAAGTGCCAGGCTGGCTGGATTTAAGCTATGGAATTCTAAGTTTCTCAGGCTCAAGTAAATAGCTAGAGGTCACAAAAGCTTATCCTCTGGCCTCCATCTGGGGATTTTCTAGACCCAGGTCACACCTTTAGCTGGATTCTGGGAGGAAAAATGAAATTCACAGCCAGCAGAGTCTTGATAGGACTCTAGGCCCATTTTTGCAGATCACAGCTTCAGAAACAATGAGTGCAATAGAAGGGAGAAGAGGGAATTAATTTTGCACCTACTAAATTTAGTTAGATACTTCACTGCTTTGGACTCATTTAATTTTTGTCATTTCCCAAGATGTGAGTATCATTTACCACATGATTAATGGACTCTGATGAAAACTCCAATCATATTGCCCCCTGTTCAAAATGTCTCATTGGCTCTTTCAAATTGAGTTAATCTCCATCCCCAACATTTAAAGCATCCACAATATGGCCACAACCCACCCCTGCTGCTTTTTCTCCCACTACTTAAATACATGTATCTCTTGCTTTAGTGCAATTGAAGTTGACTCCTTGATGTTCTCCAAGCAAGACTTCATTTCTCCATCTCCATCCTTGATTAATGTTATTCCCTCCACCTGACAGATTGTCTTGACATATCCTCTTGCTCTGCTCCCTCCACTTGTTGAAATTCCACTCATCTTTTAAAGTCATGTGAATTCTCCTTCATGAAGTCTTATTTTTTTAAATTTATTTTTCATTTCAATAGGTTCTCAGAGAACAAGTGGTACTTGGTTACATGAATAAGGTCTTTAGGGGTGATTTCTGAGATTTTGGTGCACCTGTCACCCAAGCAGTATACACTGTATTCGATGTGTAATCTTTTATCCCTCACCCCCCTTCCACCCTTTCCCCTAAGTCATCACCAAAGTCCATTGTATCATTCTTATGCCTTTGTGTCCTCATAGCTTAGCTCCCACTTATGAGTGAGATCACACGATGTTTGGTTTTCCATTCCTGAGTTACTTCACTTAGAATAATAGTCTCCAATTCCATTCAGGTTGCTGCAAATGTCATTATTTTGTTCCTTTTTGTGGCTGAGTAGTATTCTGTAGTATAGATATAGATATAGATATCACATTTTCTTTATCCACTTGTTGAGGGATGGGCATTTGGGCTGGTTCTATATTTTTGTAATTGCAAATTGTGCTGCTTTGGACTCATTTAATTTTTATCACTTCCCAAGGTGTGAGTATCATTTACTGCATGATTAATGAACTCTGATAAAAACTCCAATCATATTGTCCCCTGTTCAAAATGTCTCATTGGCTCTTTTAAATTGAGTTAATCTCCATCCCCAGCATTTAAAGCATCCACAACATGGCCACAACCCACCCTTGCTTCTTTTCCTCTGGGTAGATACCTAATAGCAGGATTGCTGGATCAAATGGTAGATATATTTTTAGTTATTTAAGGAATATCCACACTGTTTTCTATAGTGCTTGTACTAGTTTACATTCCCACCAACAGTGTAAAAGTGTTCCCTTTTTACCACATCCACACCAACTGTATTAGTCCATTTTCATGCTGCTAAAAGGAAGTGCCCAAGACTGAGTAATTTAAAAAGGAAAGAGGTATAATTGACTCACAGTTCCACAGGGCTCAGGAAACTTACAATCTTGGCAGAAGGGGAAGCAAACATGTCCTTCACAAGGAAGCAAGGAGGAGAAGTGCAGAGCAAAGCAGGGAAGAGCACTTTATAAAACCATCAGATCTTGTAAGAACTCACTCACTATCACAAGATCAGCATGAGGGAACCACCCCCATGATCCAGTCACCTCTCACAAGGTTCCTACCCCAACACATGGGGATTACAATTTGGGTTACAATTCAAGATAAGATTTGGGTGGGGACATGTGAGCCAGACTATATCATTCTGCTCCTGGCCCTTCCAAAATCTCATCTTTCTAACATTTCAAAACACAATTATGCCTTCCCAACAGTTCCCTAGTCTTAACTCATTTCAGCATTAACCCAAAAGTCCAAGTCTATAGTCTTATCTGAGACAAGGCAAGTCTCTTCTGCCTATGCGCCTGTAAAATCAAAGGCAAGTTAGTTACTTCCTAGATACAATGGAGGTATAGGCATTGGGTAAATACAGCTGTTCCAGGTGGGAGAAAGTGGCCAAAACAAAGGGGCTACAGGCCTTACGCAAGTCCAAAATCCAGCAAGGCAATCATTAAATCTTAAAGCTCCAAAATAATCTCCTTTGATTCCATGTCTCATATCCAGGGCATGCTGATACAAGGGGTGGGTTCCCACGGCCTTGGGCAGCTCCACTCCTGTGGTTTTGCAGAATATAGCCCCCTCTGGCTGCTTTCATGGCTGGTATTGTCTACAGCTTTTCCAGGCACACGATGCAAACTGTTGGTGGATCTACCATTCTGGGTTCTGGAGGATGGTGTCTCTCTTCTCACATTTCCACTAGACAGTGCCCCAGTGGGGACTCTGTGTTGGGGCTTGGACCCCACATTTCACTTCTGCACTGTTGTTCTCCATGAGGGCTGCACCCCTGCCACAGACTTCTGTCTGGACATTCAGGCATTTCCATACATCCCCTGAAATCTAGGCAGAAGTTCCCAAACCTCAATTCTTGTCTTCTGCATACCTGTAGGACTGACACCACATAGAAGCTGTCAAGACTTGGGGCTTGCACCCTCTGAAACAATGGCCTGAGCTGTACCTTGGCCCCTTTTAGACAAGGCTGGAGCAGCTGGAATGCAGGGCACGAAGTCCCAAGGCTGCACACATCAGGGGGCCCTAGACCCTGCCCAGGAAACCATTTTTTCCCTACTAGGTCTCTGGGCCTGTGATGGGAAGAGCTGCCATGAAGGTCTCTGACATGCCCTCGAGACATTTTCCACATTGTCTTGGCAGTTAGCATTCAGCTCTTCATTACTTACGCAAATTTCTGCAGCTACTTTGAATTTCTCCCCAGAAAATGGACTTTTCTTTTCTTTTGCATTGTCAGGCTGCAAACTTTCCAAACTTTTATGCTCTGTCACCTCTTGAATGCTTTGCTGCTTAGAAATTTCTTCTGCCACATACCCTAAGTCGTCTCTCTTAAGTCCAAAGTTCCACAGATCTCAAGGGGGGGCAAAAAGCCACCATTGTCTTCAGTAAAGCATAGCAAGAGTCATCTTTATTCCAGTTCCCAACAAGTTCCTTATCTCCATCTGAGACCACCTCAGCCTGGGCTTTATTGTCCATATCCCTATCAGCATTTTGGTCAAAGCCATTCAGTAAGTCTCTAGGAAGTTCCAAACTTTCCCACATTTTCCTGTCTTCTTCAGAGCCCTCCAAACAGTTCCAACCTCTTCCTTTGGAACTTACCCAGTTCCAAAGTTGCTTCCACATTTTTGGGTATCCTTAGAGCAGTGCCCTGCCCCTTCAGTACCAATTTACTGTATTGGTCCATTGTTACACCACTGTAAGCAACTTCCCAAGACTGGATAACTTATAAAGGAAAGAGGTTTAACTGACTCACAATTCCACAGGGTTGGGGATGCCTCAGGAAACTGACAATCATGGCAGAAGGGGAAGCAAACACATTCTTCTTCACAAGGCGGCAGGAAGGAGAAGTGCAGAGTGAAGTGGGGAAAAGACCAGTATTAAATCATCAGAGCTTGTGAGAAATCACTCACTATCATGAGAACAGCATGGGGAGACCACCCCCATGATCCAATCACCTCCCACAAGGTCCCTCCCCCAACACATGGTGATTAAAATTCAGACTACAATTCAAGATGAGATTTGGGTGGGGATACAGAGCCAAACTGTATTACCAACATCTATTATTTTCTTTATTATGGCTATTCTTGCAGGAGTGAGGTGGTATCACATTGTGGTTTTGATTTGCACTGCCCTGATCATTAGTGGTGTTGAGCATTTTTCCATGTGCTTCTTGGCCATTAGTATATCTTCTTTTGATAATTGTCTATTCATGTCCTTGGCCCACTTTTTGATAGGGTTGTTTGTTTTTTTCTTGCTGATTTGTTTGAGTTCTTTGTAGATTCTGGATATTAGTCCTTTGTGGAATGTATAGATTGTGAAAATTTTTCTCCCACTCTGTGGGTTGTCTGTTAACTCTGCTGATTATTTCTTTTGCTGTGCAGAAGGTTTTTAGTTTAATTAAGTTCCATCTATTTATCTTTGTTTTTGTTGCAATTGCTTTTGGGTTCTTGGCCATGAAGTCTTTGCCTAACCCAATGTTTAGTAGGATTTTTCTGATGTTATCTTCTAGAGTTTTTATGGTTTCAGTCTTAGATTTAAGTCTTTGATCCACCTTGAGTTGATTTTTGTATAAGGTGAGAGATGAGGATCCAGTTTCATTCTTCACATGTGGCTTGCCAATTATCCCAGCAGCATTTGTTGAATAGGGTGTCCTTTCCCCACTTTATGTTTTTGTTTGCTTTCACAAATATCAGTTGGTTGTAAGTATTTGGCTTTATTTCTGGATTCTCTATTCTGTTCCATTGGTCTATGTGCCTATTTTTATACCAGTACCATGCTGTTTTGGTGACTATGGCCTTATATATAGTGTGGTTTAAAGTCAGGTACTGTCATGCCTCCATATTTTTTATTTTTGTTTAGTCTGGTTTTAACTATGCTGGCTCTTTTTTGGTCCTATATGAATTTTAGAATTGTTTTCTCTTGTTCTGTGAAGAATGATGTGGTATTTTGAGGGAAATTACATTAAATTTGTATATTGCTTTTGGTAGTATGGTCATTTTCACAGTATTGATTCTACCCATTTATGAGCATGAGATGTGCTTCCAATTGTTTGTGTGATGTCTATGATTTCTTTCAGCAGTGTTTTGTAGTTTTCCTTGTAGAGGTCTTTCACCTGGTTGGTTAGGTATATTCTGAAATTTTAAAATTTTTATTGCAGCTATTGTAAAAGGGGTTGAGTTTTTTATTTGATTCTCAGCTTGGTTGCTCTTGGTGTATAGCAGAGCTACTGATTTGTGTACATTAATTTTGTATCCTGAAACTTTGCTGAATTTATTTACCAATTCTAGGAGCTTTTTGGATGAGTCTTTTGGGTTTTCTAGGTATATGATCCTATCATCAGCAAACAGTGACAGTCTGACTTCCTCTTTACCAAGTTGGATGCCCTTGATTTCTTTCTCTTGTCTGATTGCTCTGGCTAGGACTTCCAGTAGTATGTTGAATAGATGTGTTGAAAGTCTGCATTTTTGTCTTGTTCCAGTTCTCAGAGGGAATGATTTCAACTTTTTCTCATTCAGTATAATATTGGCTATGGGTTTGTCATAGATGGATTTTATTACCTTAAGGTATATCCCTTCTATGCTGATTTTCCTGAGGGTTTTAATCATTAAGGGATGCTGGATTTTGTCACATGTTTTTTCTGCATCTATTGTGATGATTACATGATTTTTGTTTTCAATTCTGTTTATGTGGTGTATCACATTTATTCACTTGTGGATGTTAAACCATCCCTGCATCCCTGATATAAAACCCACTTGATCATGGTGCATTTTCTTTTTAATATGCTGTTGGATTTGTTTAGCTAGTATTTTATTGAGGATTTTTTGCATCTATGTTCATCAGGGATATTGGTCTGTAGTTTTCTTTTTTTATGTCTTTCCCTGGCTTTGGTATTAGGTGGTACTGGCTTCATAGAATAATTTTGGGAGGATTCTCTCTTTCGCTTTCTTGTGGAATAGTGTCAATAGGATTGGTACCAATTCTTCAAACATCTGATAGAATTCAGCTGTGACTCCATCTGGTCCTGGACTTTTTTTTGTTGGCATCTTTTTTATTACCATTTTAATCTTGCTTCTTGTTATTGGTCTATTCAGAGATTCTATATCTTCATGGTTTAATCTAGGAGGGTTGTATATTTCCAGGAATTTATCTATCTCCTCTAGGTTTTCTAGTTTATGAGTGTAAAGTTGTTCATAGTAGCCTTGAATAATCTTTCATATATCTGTGGTATCAGTAGTAATATCTCCCATTTCACTTCTAATTGAGCTTATTTGGATCTTCTCTCTTCCTTTCTTGTTTAATGTCACTAACAGTCTATCAATTTTATTTATCTTTTCAAAGAAGTGGTTTTTTCGTTTCATTTTTCTTTTGTATCGTATTTTTTTGTTTCAATTTCATTTAATTCTGCTCTGATTTTACTATTTCTTTTCTTCTGCTGGGCTTTCGTTTGGATTATTCTGGTTTCTTCAGTTCTGTGAAGTATTACCTTAGATTGTTTATTTGTGCTCTTTCAGACTTTTTGATGTAGGCATTTAATGCTATGAACTTTCCTCTTAGCACCACTTTTGCCATATCCCAGAGGTTTTGATAGGTTGTGTCACTATTATCGTTCAGTTCAAAATTTTTTTAATTTCAATATTGATTTCATTGTTGACCCACCAATCATTCAGGAGCAGGTTATTTAATATCCATTTATTTGGATGGTTTTGAGGAATCCTTTTGGCATTGATTTCCAATTTTCTTCCATTGTGGACTGAGAAAATACTTGATATAATTTCAATTTTCTTAAATTTACAGAGACTTGTTTTGTGGTCTATCATGTGATCTATCTTGGAGAATGTTCCATGTGCTGATGAATAGAATGCATATTCTGCAGTTGTTGGGTAGAATGTTCTGTAAGCATCGGTTAAGTCCATTTGTTGTAGGATATAGTTTAAGTCCATTGCTTCTTTGTTGAGTTTCTGTCTTGATGACCTGTCTAGTGCTGTCAGTGGAGTATTAAAGTCACCCACGATTATTGTGTTGCTATCTATCTCATTTCTTAGGTCTAGTCTAGTAGTAATTGCTTTATACATTTGGGAGCTCCAGTGTTAGGTACATATATATTTAGGATTGTGATATTCTCCTATTGGACTAGTCATTTTATCATCATATAATGTCCCTCTTTGTCGTTTTTAACTGTTGTTGATTTAAAGTTTGTTTTGTCTGATATAAGAATAGCTATTCCTGCTCACCTTTGGTGTCCATTTGCATGGAATATCTTTTTCCACTCACTTACCTTAAGTTTATGTAAGTCCTTATGTGTTAAGTGAGTCTCCTGAAGACAGCAGAAACTTGGTTGGTGAATTCTTATTTATTCTACCAATCTGTATCTTTTAAGTGGTACATTTAGGCCATTTATATTCAATGTTAGTATTGAAATATGAGCTACTATTCTATTCATCATGACATTTGTTGCCTAAATACCCTTTTTTTAAATTGTGTTATTGTTTTATAGGTCCTGTGAGATTTATGCTTTAACGAGGTTCTATTCTGGTGTATTTTGAGGATTTGTTTCAAGACCTAGAGCTCCTTTTAGCAGTTCATATAGTGCTAGCTTGGTAGTGGTGAATTCTCTAAGCATTTGTTTTTCTGGAAAAAAATGTTTCTTTTCTTCATTTATGAAGCTTAGTTTCACTGGATACACAATTCTTAGCTGATAATTGTTTTGCTTAAGGAGGCTAAAATGAAGACCCCAATCTCTTCTAGCTTGTAGATATTCTCCTGAGAAATCTGCTGATAGTCTTATAGGTTTTCCTTTATGTGTTACCTGATGGTTTTACCTCTTAGCTCTTAAGATTCTTTTCTTCCTCTTGACTTTAGATAACTTAATGACTACGTGCCTAGGCAATGAACTTTTTGTGATGAATTTCCCAGTTGTTCTTTCAGCTTCTTGTATTTGGATGTCTAAATCTCTAGCAAGGCCAGGGAACTTTTCCTTGATTATTCCCTCAAATATATTTTCCAAACTTTTAGATTTCTCTTCTTCCTTAGAAACACCAACTTTTCTTAGGTTTGGATGCTTAACATAGTCCTAAACTACTTGGACCCTTCGTTCATTTTTTAAAATTCTTTTTTCTTTGTCTTTGATGGATTAGTTTAATTTGAAAGCCTGGTCTTTGAGGTCTCAAGTTCTTTCTTCTGCTGTTCGATTCTATTGCTGAGACTTTCCAGTGCATTTTGCATTTTTCTAAGTGTGTCTTTGATTTCTAGAAGTGTGATTATTTTTTATTTATGTTATCTATTTCTCTGAAGATTTTTCCTTTCATATCCTGTATCATGTTTTCAATTTCTTTAAGTTGGACTGCATCTTTCTCTGGTGCCTCCTTGATTAGCTTAATAATCGACCTTCTGAATTCTTTTTCTGGCAATTCTGAGATTTCATCTTGGTTTGGATCCATTGCTGGTGAGCTGGTGTAATTTTGGGGGGTGTTAAATAAACTTATTTTGCCATATTACCAAAATTGTTTTGCTGGTTTCTTCTCATTTGGGTAGACTATGTCAGAGGTGAGATCTGGGACTCAAGGGCAGTTCAGATTCTTTTGTCTGTGGGGTGCTTCCTTGATGTCCTTTTCCTAGGGGGACTTCCCTAGGAATGGTGCTTCCTGAGACCCTAACTGTAGTGATTGTTTTTGCTCTTCTGGGTCTACCCACACAGCAGAGCTACCAGGCTCTGGGCTGGTACCAGGGAGTATCTGCAAAGAGTCCTATGATATGAACTGTCTTCAGGTCTTTCAGCTTTGGATACCAGCACCTGCTCTGGTGGAGGTAGCAGGTAAGTGAAGTGGACCTTTTGAGTGTCCTTGGCTGTATTTTTGTTTAGTGTGCTGGTTTTATGTTGGTTGGCCTCCAGCCAGGAGGTGACACTTTCAAGAGTGCATTAGCTGTGGTATATAGGCAGGAAGGAATCTTGGCTAGGGTCACCTAGTTAAGTATTTAGGTTTCTCAGGCAGTGGGCAGGGCCACAAGCTCCCAAGAGATTATGTCCTTTTTCTTTGGCAGCCAGAGTGGGTAGAGAAAGACCAGAAGGTGGGGAAAGGGATAGGTGTGTCTGAGCTAAGCCTTTCCTCGGGCGGGGCTTGATGTGGCTGCTGTGGTGGTTGGGGGTGCAGTTCCCAGGCCAATGGAGTTATGTTCCCAGGGGGATTATGGCTGCCTCTGTTGAGTCACACAGGTCACCAGGGAAGTGGGGGAAAGCTGGCAGTCACAGGCCTCACCCCTCTCCCACACAGCCCTCAGTCCTAAAGGCTGGTCTCACTCCCATCCTGCCACGCAACAGCACAGGGTCTATTTCGAGACAGCCAGTGACCAGGGCTGAGAACTTGCCCCAGACCACCAGCCTCCTCACTGAGAAAGCAAGCAGAATCACAGTTTTTTGGAATCTCAGGGAGCCTTCAGCGGCAATCCAGTTCCTTCAAAGGGTCTGTGGATTCTCTCAGTTTTCATGGTATGTTCCTGTGGTATTTCTTGGAGCAAAAGCTCACAATGTGAACCTCCTCATGCTGCTCTGTCTGGCTGAATAGAAGCTGAAAGCTACTTCTGCCTCCTGTCTGCCATTTTAATCCTCCTTCATGAAATCTTAATCAAAGTGGAAGTACCTTTTTCTTCCCTGGAACTCTTAAAATACCTTTCTTCTGTCTTGTGCAGCTTCTCTTATTGCACTTTATATATACAGGCATACCTTGGAGATACTGCAGGTTCAGTTCTAGACCACCACAATAAAGAGAGTCACACAGATTTTTTGGTTTCCCAGTGCATATAAAGTTGTGTTTACACTATAATGAAACATATTAATTATGCCGTAGCATTATGTTTAAAATAATGTTCATACCTTAATTTTAAAATAAATTATTGCTTAAAAATATTAATAATCATTTCAGCCTTCAGCCATTTGTAATCTCTTTGTTGGTGGAGGGTTTTGCCTATATGTTGATGGCTGCTAACTGATCAGGGTGGTGGTTGCTGAAGGTTGACATGGCTGTGGCAATTTCTTAAAATAAGACAACAATGAAATTTGTTGCATCATTGAACTCTTCCTTTCACTAAAGCTTTCTCTGTAGCATGAGATACTGTTTTATAGCATTTTACCTACAGTAGAACTTCTTTCAAATTTGGAGTTAATACTCTCAAACCCTGCCACTGCTTTATCAACTTAGTTTATATAATATTCTAAATCCTTTGTCATCATTTTAACAATGTTAACAGTGTCATCAGGAGCAGATTCCATTTCAAGAAACCACTTTCTTTGCTCATCTATAAGAAACAATTCCTCATTCATTCACATTTTATCATGAGATTGCACTAATCTGGGCACCTCTTCAGGCCCCACTTCAAGTTCTAGTTCTCTTGTTACTTCTTTCATATCTGCAGTTACTTTCTCCATTAAAGTCTCGAACTCCTCAAAGCCATTCACGAGGGTTGGAATCAACTCTCCCAAACTCCTGTTAATGTTAATATTTTGGCCTCCTCTCATGAATCATGAATGTTATTAAAAGCATCTAGAATGGGTAATACTTTCTAGAAGATTTTCAATTCACTTTGCCCAGATCCATCAGAAGAATCACTATTTATAGCAGCTATAGCCTTACAAAATGTATTTGTTACACGGTAAAAGTTGGAAGTTGAAATTACCCCTTAATCCATAGGCTGCAGAATGGATGCTGTGTTAGCAGATACAAAAACAACATTAATTTCTATGTATATCTCTATCAGAGCTCTTGTGTGAACAGATGTATTGTCAATGAGTAGTAATATTTTGAAAGAAATAGTTTTTTCTAAGCAGTAGTTCTCAAAAGTGGGCTTAAAATATTCAGTAAACCATGCTGTAAACAGATGTCTTGTTATCCAGGCTTTGTTGTTACGTTTATAAAGCATAGGCAGAGTAGATTTAACATATTTTTTAGGAGCCCTGGGATTTTCAGAATGGCAAATCAGAACTAGCTTCAACTTTAAGTTACCAGCTGCATTAGCCTTGAACAAGTGAGGCAGACTGTCCTTCGAAGCTTTGAAGCCAGGCACTGACTTTTCTTCCCTAGCTATGATAGTCCTAAATGGCATCTTCTCCCAATATAAGGTGGTTTTATCTATATTATCTATGTTGTTTAGTGTAACCACTTTCCTCAATTATTTTAGTTAGGTCTTCTGGATAACTTGCTACTGCTTCTCCATCAGCACTTGCTGCTTCACCTTGTACTTTTAGGTTATGGCGATGGCTTCTTTCCTTAAACTTCATGAACCAATCCCTGCTAGCTTCAAACTTTTCTTCTTGCCTTCCTCACCTCTCTCAGCCTTCATAGAATTGAAGAGAGTTGGGACCTTGCTCTGGATTAGGCTTTGGTCTAAGGGAATGTTGTGGCTGGCTTGATCTTCTATCCAGACCACTAAAACTTTCTTTACATCAGCAACAAGGCCGTCTCTTCTTCATGTATTCACTGCAGTGGCACTTTTTTTTTTTTTTTTGGAAAGAAAATTAGATTTCTGATGGACATCCTGATGTTGGTTTTACTGTTTCCTTTTGAATACACAGGAGCAGTGAGACTTGCCAGCACTCAGGGCTCCAAGGGTCTTGGGCCAGCTCTGGATGGAGGGAAAGCCCCACATGCCCAGAGCAAGGCCCCTCATTAAGGGACTGCAGCCATCTCCAGGGGCTCCTCCCTCCACCCACCTGCTACCAAATGCCAGTGGGAGCCTCCTTGCACTCCCTCCCTGCCCACTTGCCCCTCGACCATCAGCCTGGCATTCAAAGCCTTTCCAAGTCCCACCTCACTTTTCCTGCTCCCAAAGGTGCCCAGGCTCTGGACAGGCCCTGCTCATATCCTCGATGGTGGCACATTCTCTGGAGGACCCTCCCGTTCTCGGGTAGGGGCCGTGCCCCACCTAGGTAGCTGTCCCATGTGGGATCCTGTAGGATCTCTAAAACCCAGCTCTGGCCCCAACTTTCTGTCTGCCCTGGAGGTTTCTCAGCCTCCTGAGAGCTCTCCTGGGCCCTGGTCTGGGCAGAATCTGGGCCTAAACAAACAAGAGCCAGGGCAGCCAGGGTCTCTGCATGGCTAGGCCCAGGGCTTGCCCTCAGAGCTCACCTGTCCAACAGAAGAGGAGTGTGCCTCCACCTTCCCTACTGCCTGCCCCTTTTTCAGGGTCTCAGGGCCTCTAGCCCTGTGGTGGGGCAGGGGGTGCTGGGTGCCCCAGGTGGAGCTGAAGTCATGGGGCTGTTGAGGAGTTGGTGTCCACCTGGAGTCTGTCCAGTGAATTTAGGTCAACAGGTGTGCAGTCTGTCCTTCGAGGCTGAGCCACCTCCCAACAGCCCGAACAACTCCAGGGGCCTTTTGAAGGAGGGGTAGGCAGGCCCAGTGGGTGGTCAACCCAAGGTGAACCCACCCACCATGGCCAGGGTTCCTCAGGTTGAGCCTCCAGTGGGTGAAACCTAGGAGTCCTCAACCTTCCTGGCAGATGGGGCCATTGACAAGAGGAGGTGGGTGGGGTCTCCACAGACTCCGCCCTGTGGTGTCACACAGCTGGCAGCCAATGGGAGGCAACCAGCCAGGAAGCCCTGGAGCTACCCTTGCTGGGTAACCTTGCTGGGGAACCTGGGCCATCCCAGTTTGTGCGAAGTGGCCGGAGGCAGTTAGAAGCCCACGGTTCAGTCCAAGGCAGTCCACTGAGCCCCGTGTGACTCTGACCGGGCTGGGGGTGTCCATGTCCTCTCTGGACCTCAGTTCCTGTAAAATGGCCCATTGGCCAGATCGGCCGCCGGGCTGCTCACAGGTGCACGGGCTGCACATAACCCCGTGGGAAGAAGCCAACGCGCCCGCAGGACTGGCCCCGCCACCAGTGGGGGGTCTGGATGCTCCAGGACCCCAATGATGTCGCCATGGCAGAAGCTGAGCTGCGAGGGGTCCTGGGCTGAGAAGTCAAACTGGGCCTGGGCAAAGCAGGCCCCAGGTGACTTGAGCAAGGGCTCCTCGTCGCGCAGGAAGATCTGCCGCTTCTTGGCGATGGTGGTGGTGCGGTAGAAGTCGACCAGCTCGTTGAGGGAGTTGAACTTCTCCTCCCACAGGAAGTACTTCCCCGAGGCCTTGCGCAGCACCTTGAAGTGCTGCACCTGGTCTCCATAGCTAGGGGAAAGGACCCGGGGCGACCTCAGATGGTGGCCGTCCCAGCCTGGCATGGTCCCAGGGGGTCCCGTCTCACTACCACCTGGAACCAGCCTGTCTCAGGGTGGGACCTGGAGTCAGATAAGGTGCAAGTGGGAGAGGCCCCACTGACCCAGCTCCACATGGGGTCTGGGGAGTCCTATCTGGCAGTGGAATATGGGGTTAAGGGTGTGGGCTCTGAACCGGGCCACTTTCTCACTGTGTGATCTCATGCAAGTCTCTCGACTTCTCTGAACCTCAGTTTCCTCATAATGATAACATCTCCATTATGGAGAAGTGCACAGCGACTGGCATGTTAGCAACGTGAAATGGGTACCTCTGAGTGTGTCCTGATCAGAGAGCATCTCCTTCACATCTCTTTGCCGTTCCCCTCAGCTTGGACCTTCTCCCTGCTCCCCCGCTCCTCCCAGTCCCCACAGTCCCTTGGGGAGCAAGTCCTAGACTCATCCTGACTCAGACCAAAGCCTACTGCTGTGAGAGGAACTCAGACCTGTTGGATGTCTCATGTCCTCCCCCTCCCGTGAACCTTCTGTGGCTTCTCTCTTGGCCTCAGGGTAAACTCTTAACACCTCAGACTCAAGATCTGGCTCTGCAGTGGCACTTTTAATTTCCCTTAAGAACTTTTCCTTTGCATTCACAATTGGGATAACTGGCAAAAGAGCCCCAGCTTTCAGCCTATCTTAGCTTTTGACATGGCTTCCTCACTAAATTAATCATTTCTAGCTTTTGATTTAACATAAAAATGTGAGACTTGTTTTCACTTCAACAATTAGAGACCATTGTAGATTTATTAATTGGCCTAATTTTAATATTATTGTGTCAGGGATTGGGGGGCTCAAGAAGAGAGAAGGAGGGAGATGGGGGAATGATCAGGTGGCAGAGTAGTCAGAACACTCAACAGTTATTGATTACATTTACCATCTTACATGGGCACAGTTCATGGTTCCCCAAAGGAAGAATGACAATAGTAACATCAAAGATTACTGATCACAGATCACTGTAACAGATATAATAAAGATGAAAAAATTTTAAATATTTTGTAAATTACCAAAATGTGACACAGAGACACAAAGTGAGCATATGCTATTGGAAAAATGGCACCAATAGACTTGCTCAATGCAGAGTTGCCAAAACCCTTCAATTTGTAAAAAAAAAAAAAAAAAAAAAAAAAAAAAAAAAAAAAAAAAGCAATATCTACGAAGTACAATATATGAAGCACAATAAAACAAGGTATGCCTGTTGTCATTTATGACCTTATCTAATTCTCTCTAATAAAACACATGTTCCTCAAAGGCACGGACTATGTCCTGCTTATTTGTCTTTTTTAATCTTCCAGTGACTGTCATAGTAGGTAATCATTACATAGTAGGTGAATTGGATTTTCATTAGCATTTGGATTTCTAATTTTGAAGGAGCATGATCTTTCTTTTGCCAGTTTTAAGTTGATTTGAAAAACAAATACATGGGAAACATCTGGATCCATAACAGCAACATTCAAGTGCTAGATGGAAGGTCACATGGGAAGAGCAGCCCCTGACCAGAATGCTGGCCAGGGATAGACTGTTTAAATGGGCTTGGATTCTGGCTCCTTTGACTTCTTTTCCTTTCCTCTGAAGAGGGGTGAGCTAGAGTACCGTGAGATGTGACTTATTGAACATTACCCTGTGCCTAGCACCTCATTAGCTATTTTACATCATTAGCTTGTTTAATCTTTGTAATCTCTTCATTTAATCTTTGAAGGATACATTATTCCCATTGCATAGTAAACAAAGACATAGCAAGGTCAAATAACTTGTTTAAAATCATATAGTGAACAAAGATTTTGACTCAGATACTGGCTCCAAACTCATGTGCTTGCCCATTCTACTATGCTGACTCCCAGACTCAAGCTAGAGAATTCTCTCAGAAAGGAATACCCAAGGAAAACATGCAAGATGCAGCACTGTGTTAAAGATGGAATTTTTTAAAGTCTCTTAAGAATAGAATAGATGGACAGCAAGATGTAGCAATGGGTATTATGTCTGTTGATTCTCACAGCATTTGAGGCAATTTTGATTATCACCAGATCTGGAAGCCACTGCTCTGGTAGACAGAGTGTGAATATGGTAGTTGGAAAACTATGGTTCAAAGCCCATCTCAGCCACTGACCAGTTAAGTGAAGTTTAAGTTAGTTATGCAAACTTTATCAACTCAGTATTCTCATCTGTAGAATGGAGAACATAATTCCCTCTAGGATGTTTATTTTAAGAATAGAAAGAAGGAATTAAATGTGATTACATGACCATAAAAGAGGAAAAATTGATACCATGATGCTTGAGACACAAGCAATTAGAGCACCCTTTGAACATGTTTTTAAGATATCTTCTGTTTTATTTCCTAAAAGTAACCAACTCCAGATGATAAAAGATGCTATTTTAATGCATGTCTATGGCTGGGCATGGTGGCTCATACCTATAATCCTAGCCCTTTGGGAGGCTGAAGTGGGAGAATTGCTTGAGTCCAGGAGTTTGAGACCATCCTGGGCAACATATTGAGACCTCATCTCTATAAATAATTTAAAAAATTAGCCAGGCACAGTGGCACACACCTATAGTCCCAGCTTCTTGAGGGGCTGAGACAGGAGGATTGTTTGGGCCCAGGAGGTTGAGGCTGCAATGAGCCATGATCATGCCATTGCACTCCATCCTGGGCAACAGAGTGAGACCCTGGCTCAAATAAATAATAATAATAATAATAATATAGTAATTCATGTCTATCTTTGTGCAAGAAGCTTTCCTGACCCAATCCTAAGCTCAGCGACTGCCCTTTCATGGTGTTTCTGGAGCACCCTATGCACACGTTCGTCTTTGTTCTGCCTCACCCTATAGTAATAGTATATAAAAGAGTTTTGTCAAGATGGCCCTGAGGCAGAGCAGGAGGGGTGGCAGTATTCCATTTTTAAAAATAGCAAAGATAAGGCCAGGCATGGTAGTTCATGCCTGTAATCCCAGGACTTTGGGAGGCCCAGGCAGGCAGATCACCTGAGGCCAGGAGTTCAGGACCAGCCTGGCCAACATCATGAAACCCTATCTCTATTCTTATAAGAATATCCCATCTCTATTCTTGTAAGAATACAATAATTAGCTGGGCATGGTGTTGTGCACCTGTAATCTCAGCTACTTGGGAGGCTGAGACAGGAGAATCATTTGAACTCAGGAGGTGGAGGTTGCAGTGAGCCAAGATTGTGCCACTGCACTGTAGCCTGGGCAACAGAGTGAGATTGTGTCTCAAAAAAAAAAAAGTAGCAAAAATACTTAATAATTTGCTTGAGACGATGATGTGATTAGTTAGTGGCAGAACTCAGGATCAGATATCAGAGCTAATGCAACTACACCAGGGAACAGCAACTTAGAAACTTGTCCTGTCCCAAGGAAGAGGTAACGGTCCAGAGGTAGATGAGATTGGGTTTTCTTCTCTTCTCTCTAATGTCCTTTGATTTCTTTACCCTGGTTACATGTAATGGCTTGGCAGAAACTTCAAAATTGAACTTGTGAGAGACATCACTGTTATTAACCTCTAGGCAATTACAGTAGCTGTCAAAGGTTTTTGAGCCAACATGCAACCTGACCCTTTCTAAATGACTTAGAAGTGACATTTTAATGAGAAAAGAAAGCAGAAGAGGTGGTTTTTTTCTAAACAGGAAATTTTTATGGAGAAACTGACACTGAATTTTACTGTCTATCCAGAGGGTATGTGTGAGATGAAGAGCAGAGCCCAAGGCTGTTAGCTTCTGTTTGTTACTTCTGCTCCCCTAGTCCCTCATCCACTGAAGCCTCTCCTGAGAAGTCACATAGAGGCATGCTAAGGAATTATTCCCCTAGCAAGACTTGGCTTATTAGTGCATTTGGGGTAACTAAATTACCAGCTCCAGTCAATCCCCCTTTTCTTTTTTATCTCTGGGCCTGGTCAAAGGAAATCTATGGGGCACAAATACTAAGCTTTTTAAAAAAGATGTAATTCATGTATCACAAAATTCACTCCTTTAAAGTGTACAATTTAGTAGGCTTTAGTGTACTAACACAGTTGTGCAACCATCAACACTATCTAATTCTAGAACATTTTCCTCACTCCTGAAAGAAACCCATATCCTTTAACAGTCACTCCTCGTTTTCTTCTTTCTCAGCCCCTGGCAATCACTAATCTACTTTCTTTTTCTACGTAGTTGCCTATTTTGAACATTTCCTTAAAATGTATTAAAATGCATAACGTTTGTATCTAGCTTCTTTCACTTACCATAATGTTTTCAAAGTTCAGAAGTTAGAGGAACAGTCTGTAAGACCACTCTTTCTTCTGATACTAATTGCAAGTTTGGTGATTCCCAAGACCATCAAGATAAAACCCCACAAAACTCACTGAAAGCTATTATGCTCATGATTATGGTTTATTACAGCTAAAGGATACAGATTAGAATCAGCCAGAGGAAGAGGTGCATAGAACAGAGTTCAAAAAAGTACCAAAAGCAAAACTGCCAGTTGTTCTTTACTCATGAGTCATGGACAGCTTTGGCAAGAATGCTTCATATTCTTGCCAATGCCATTAGTTTTCTGGTATCAATATGTGACTGTACCCATGGAATATTGCCAGCTAGGGAAGTACACCAGAGCCTTGGTGTCCAGGTCTTTATTGGAGCTTGATCACATAAACCTGGCTGGCTGCTCACATGGCTGACTTCAGTCTTCAGACTTTCTTTCTGGAGGTCAACTGATACCACATGCCCCAAAGCCCTCACCCTAAATTAGATTGTTAGTATCTGGCTGGCCCAAGGATCCCAGGCAAACAAAGATATTTTTTCAGACAGGACATTCCAAGGGCCTGGAGATTACCTCCCAGGAGTCAAGGGCAAATGTCAGACCATGCTTTGAGTGAAGTTAAATTGTTTACTACATAAAAGTTCATTTATGTTATATCCTGTATCAGTATTTCTTTCCCTTTTGTGGCTGATTAATATTTCATTGTAGGGATTTACCACATTTTGTTTATCCATTTATCAGTTGATGAACATTTGGGTTGTTTCAACTTTTTGGCTATGACGAATAATGCTACTGTGAACATTTGTGTACAAGTTTATCTGTAGACATATATTTTCAATTCTTTTGGGTAAATGCTGGATCATATGGCAACTCTTTGTTTAAGGAAATACCAAACTGTTTCCAAAGTGGTTGTACCATTCTACATTTTCATTAGTAATGTATGAGTGTTTCAGTTCTTCATATTCTTGCCAATGCTAGTTGCTTTAAAAAATTATTATTATTGGCTGGGTGCAGTGGCTCACACCTGTAATCCCAGGACTTTAGGAGGCCAAGATGGGCAGATCATGAGGTCAGGAGATCTAGACCATCCTGGCTAACATGGTGAAACCCCATCTTTACTAAAAATACAAAAAATTAGCCGGGCATGGTGGCAGGCACCTGTAGTCCCAGCTACTTGGGAGGCTGAGGCAGGAGAATGGCATGAATCCGGGAGGTGGATCTTGCAGTGAGCTGAGATCATGCCACTGCACTCCAGCCTGGATGACAGAGCGAGACTCCGTCTCAAAAAAAAAAAAAAGTATTATTATTATTATTATAGCCATCCTAGTGGGAGTGATGTCATATCTCATTGTAGTTTTGATTTTATTTCCCTAATGAATAGTAATGTTGAGCAAAGTTTTATTGCTTATTGTCCATCTGTGTATTTTTGGAGAAATGTCTGTTCAGATACTTTCCCCATTTGAAAATTGGGTCATTTATTTTTTATTGTTGAGTTGTAAGAGTTTGTTATACAGTCTGCAAAGAAGTCCTTTATCAGATATATGATTTGTAAATATTTTCTCTCATTCTATGGGTTGTCTTTTCACTATTTTAATAGTGTACTTTAAAATGCAAAAATTTTAAATTTTGATAAAGTTGAATTTGTCTGTTTCTGTTTTTGTCATTGTTGCTTGTTTTTTGGTGTCATATTGAAGAAATGCTTTCTTAATCCAAAGTCATAAAGGTTTATGTTTATGTTTTCCTCTAAGAGTTTTAGAATTTTGACTTTAACATTTAGATGTTTGCTCCAATTTAATTTAGTATATGGTGTGAGGTAGGGGTCCTACTTCATTCTTTTGCGTACAGATAAACATTTGTGTCAGCACCATTTGTTGAAAAGATGGCTCTTTTTCCGTTGAATTGCCTTGGCACCCTTGTAAAATAATATTAGTTTACCATAAATTTGAGGTTTTATTTCAAAACTCTCACTTTTATTTCATTGATCTACATGTCTTTCCTTATGTCAGTATCACATTGTCCTAATGATTATAGCTCTATTTTGTTCTATAATTCTTTTTTTAAATGGTTTTGGAAATAGGGAGTATGAGACCTCAAACTTTGTTTTGTTTTCAAAATTGCTTTGCTTATTCTAGATCTCTTGCAAATCATAGAATCCATTTGTCAATTTCTGCAAAAAAGCCAGCTGGAATTATGGTAGAGATTGCATTAAATCTGTAGATCAGTTAGGGGAATGTTGCCATGTTAACAATATTAGGTCTTTAGTCTGTGAACATGGCCTATTTTTCCATTTATTTTGGTCTTCTTTTATTTCTTTTGATTATGTTTTGTAGTTTTTAGTTTATAAATCTTGCACTTCTTCTGTTAATTTATTTGTATTCTCTTCTTTTTGATGTTTTTGTCAATAAAATTGTTTTCCTAATTTTATATGCAGATTGTTCACTGTGAGTGTGTAGACTGTACAATTGACTTTGCATGTTTATCTTGTGTCCTGTAACCTTGCAGTGGTTGTCTATAAGTACTAATAATTTGTGTGTGTTCATGTGTGTGTGTGCATGCATATATATTTCTTAATACTTCCCACATATAAGAGATAGTTTTATTTTTTTTTCAGTCTGGATAACTTTTATTCCCTTTTATTGCCTACTTTCCCTGGCTAGACTCTTCAGTACAGTATTGAATAGAGGTAGCAAGAGTAGACATCCTTGTCATCTTTCCAATATTAGAAGGAAAGCATTCAGTCTTTATTAAGTATAATATTACTTGTGAGTTTTCCTTAGATGACCATAATCAGGTTGAGGAAATTCCCCTCTACTCTTAGTTTGCTGTTTGTTTTTATTTCATAAAAGATTGTTGGGTTTTGTCAAATATTTTCTCTGCATTGATTGTAGTAATCATGTGGTTTTAAATTTTTTATTAATATAGCATATTGCATGGACTGATTTTTATATGTTGAGCTAACTTGGCATTTTTGGGATTTTTCCCATTTGGTCATGGTGTATACTTCCTGAGATACTTGTGAGGTCTTCCGAAATCATAGGCTCCAAGCTCAGTTGGACCAGAAACTCTCCTCAGGATCACTGAAACTGTCAGTTTTACCGTGCTGTTAAGTATGACAATGGTCTGACTTTACTGCCAGATTGTGTTCAAATTAAAATACCTCCAGCTGAGCTCCTTGAACACAATTACTATGTACTTTCATCTCTGGGCCCGAATACTGAGTGCAGTATGACACAAAGTTGACATGCCACAAATGATTTCCAATGAGTTAATTTATACATACATGAATAAGTTTCAAAATAAATTTCACCTCTTTGGAGGGCATCTTCTATAGTTCTGAGCTGTGGGAATTTGTGAGGTGTGGTTCGGAAGAAGAAAATGTACTACATGTACAACTTCTTCACTAAGCATTAATGATAAAATTCTACCTTATGATCATTCAGATTGATTTGAGAGGTAAAAAAAGCAACTGAATTCAGAAATTAGCCTTTTGTTAAATGGCCATTTTGTATATATCTGATTATGGGATAAAATTTAACTATTATTCTTCCTTTACATAGCTTTTGGTATATTCTTCCTTTACATAGCTTTTAGTATATTCTCTCAGCTCTGTGTTTGTGAAAATGATGCCAACCTTGACTACCTTTCTCCTCAATGACTTGCACTACCCATGGAACACATAAGTATAATGAGTATTTGTCAAATAAATAAATGTACTATAAATGCAGGTGAATTAAGACTAAATGGTAAAAAAAAAAAAAAAAATGGAATCAGTACAGCAGGCTCTTCCTTAGAGGATCTTAATAGTCTGCTATATTTTATGTTTAAGTCAATGACATCTCCTATTTCCATTTCTTCCAGGAAATTATTTAGAAATGATCTCATCTTCCCTTTCTTTCATTCCAAGTTCTGCCCTCACCCTATAGATCCTTACTCTTTGATGTATAGACCAGGTATCAGTGGCATAGGCATCACCTCAGAGCAGAATCTCAGGCTCCTCCACAGACCTAGTAAATCAAAATCTGTATTTTAGCAAGATTCCCAGGTGATTCTCATGTATAGTAATGTTTGAGAAAAGATTATCTAAAATGTTGCCATATGCTTGCTCTACATGCTTGTTTCACTATCAAATAAATCTTGGTATCTATAGGTACGGTTCAACTTGAGATAGCAGGAATCATAGTAGAAAGTTTCATCTCCTATTTAAAAAAATTAAATAAGCAAATAATTATGGAAACCCTATTGGATGGGGGGTAGGTGTTTTCTTTATGTGCTGTGAAGAAAGTGTCAACATAGTTGCTCCTTTTAAAAATGTGTTAGGCCGTTTTTACATTGCTATAAAGAAATACCTGTGACTGGGTAATTTATAAGAAAAGGGGTTTAGTTAGCACATGGTTCTGTAGGCTGTACAGGAAGCATGGTGCCAGAATCTGCTTCTGGGGAGGCCTCAGGAAACTTACAATCATAGTGGAAGGTGGAAACAGGAGCAGGTGTTTCATGGCAGAAGCAGGTGCAAGAGAGGGTAGTGGAGGGAGGTGTTACACACTTAATCAAATCTCATGTGTACTCACTCACTATTGCAAGGACAGCACCAAGCCATAAGGAATCCACCCCCCATGACCAAAACACTTTCTATCAGGCTCCACCTCAAACACTGGGGATTATAATTCAACATGAGATTTGGCAGGGACATATATTCAAACTTTATATAAAAAACACCTCAACGGTGGCCCATGAGGGCCCAAAATTCCATTACAATCATTCTTTTGGATTCTCATTCATTTGTCACATCAGGTGAGACAACGAGATAAACTGCTGTTATGTGAATTACTTTACCATAATTAAGAAAAATTGACATTAAATAGAAGAAAGTCCAATTTTGATGGGGGAAGAAGCAGTAAAAAATTCCTAGAGGGCAGAAACAGCAAAAGTGGTGGGGTTGGTTATAGGAACCTGTGGGAACAGTGCAAGGAACTGGGTATATTAGTTATAGATCTTCAGAGAAACAGAACCAATAGGATCAACAGAAATGTTTGAGAGAGGATTTATTATGGAAATTGGCTCACACAAATATGGAGGCTGAGAAGTCCCACCATATGCTATCTGCAAGCTGGAGAACAAAGGAAGCTGATAGCATTGCTCAGTCCAAGTTTAAAGGCCCAAGAACTTGGGAAGCCAGTGGTGCAAGTCTTAGAGTCCAAAGGCCAAAGAACCTGGATGTCCAAGAGTAACAGAAGATGAGTGTTCCAGCTCCAGAAGACAGGAAAATTCATCTTTCCTCTGACCTCATTGTTCTATCCAGACACTGAACCAATTGTTTGGTGCCTGCCCACATTGGGTGAGGGTTGATCCTCCTTACTCAGGCCACTGACCCTAGTGCCTCTTTTCTGTAAACACCCTCATAGACATACCCAGAAAGAATGCTTTACCATCTATCTGGGTATCTTTTAATCCAGTCAAGTTGACACCTAAAATTAACCATCACACTGGGGTTGCTAGAGCAAGAAGGAATGCTCTGCAGGAGGAGGTGAGAAAAAAATCCAGGATATACCCTGCATATATCACAGTGCTATATCTGTCTAGTCTTGCCTACTGAAAGCAATGCAATTATGGCTTTCTAACTCAGGCTTGATTTTTTCTTATTGAGAGCCACCCCAAGGATTCTTGTTATGGAACACTGGCAACAATGCAGTAAGACATCCTTTCTCATCTAATTCCTTTGGAGAGAGAGAGATTGATGGAAAACAATGCAAGCATCTTCTGGGCACAGATGGACAAGGCATTCTGCTTGGGGCAGCCGAGGCTTAGCACATTGAATACAGTTCCAAGAACCACATCAGAAATGTTTAGGGAATGAAAGACTTGGCCGGGAAATAGCAACAGGAGCTAAATATGGACTGGCTGACTAATCATCTCTGAAAGGGGAACCAAGCAATGTGGTAATGATCTTATGGGCAAAATGCTGTGGAGAATTTGCCTGGGCTGTAAGGGACAACATGAAGCAAATGTAAGGTGAAGGACCATCCAGGAAGAATGCCTCACGTCAATGGATTTGCAGGGGACTGACTCCCTCTTTCTTCTTCCCTTTCCCTAGATATTATACATTCCTCATTTTTGTTGTGTATGCACTTCTAGCGTAAGGCATCCAAGGAGACAACTCGAAAATTGCCTAAAGAAAGACCACATGGTGTGTGCTAACTTAAGCCGATGATGTGAATAGCAACACCTTGGCCTCCTTCAACTTTATGCACTTGATAGACAAACCCCATTTGGAGGTCTTTTTCAGAAAATTTTGGGGTCTGTAGGGAATAGACATGCCTTTTTCCTCATTTTGCTTTTGCTTACCAAGGTAAGAACAGTTAAAAAAAAATATATGAGTCTTCAGCTTGATTTTCAAGTCCGTGAAACAGTTCAGTGGGTTAAAGAGGCTTCAGTGGCTCTTTTACCTAGATAAGAAATTATTATCACGATGATACTTTTACGTTAATTGTTTTTCTTATTTTTTAATGGATTTGAGTTGACAAGGGATAATGTCTTTAAAAAAGAAAACACAAACTTTATTTGTGATTGTTTTAGTTCAGGCTATTATAACAAAGTACCATAGACTATGTCAACTTTCAATAATGAGATTCAGAAAATATGATTAAGTATAGAGTTTATTTGACCCCAGAGCTTGACGATGGCCACCCAGAAACATAGATTTAAGTTGCTGTGAATATACACTTTGATTAGCAGCAGTTACAAGTGGATTTTCAAGAAAAAAAGAAGAGGCAGTTCCTCTATTATTTACTAATAATTTACATAGAAATAACCTAAGCTATTGATTGGCTCTGCATTGTACTGTATATCACAGATTCCAGGAACATGAAGATAATGGGAGAGGCAGCCAGTCGGGGGCAAAGATGCCGTTAAACAGTCAGCCCTGGGCATGGACGTGCCCCCTCCTACTGAAGTCCTATATTCACATCTTTCTGGGCCTGGTAAGTTTTGCATACTTCACAGGGCCCAGACTGCCTTATTTATTTATTTTTTTTCTTAACTGGGTGGCTTATAAACAACAGAAATTCATTTCTTACAGTTCTGCAGGCTAGAAGTCCAAGATCAGGCTGCCAGCATGGTCAGGTTCTGGTGAAGGCTGTCTTTCAGGTTGCAGACTACCACTTTCTTGTTGTGTCCTCACATAGCTGAAAGCAAGCAAGCTAGCTCTCTGGCCTCTTCTTATAAATTCATTTATGAGGACTTCACCCTCATGACCTAATCACCTCCCAAAGGCCCCACCTCCAAATATCATCACACTGGAGATTAGAATTTAACATATCAGGCAGTTTGGGGTGGCTCATATCTGTAATCCTAGCACTTAGGGAAGCCAATTCAGGAGCATCACTTGAGCCCAGGAGTTCAAGGCTGCAGTGAACAATGATCGTGCCACTGCACTCCAACCTGGCCAGCAGAGTGAGACCCTGTCACTAAAAAAAAATTTTTTTAAGATTTTAGGCCGGGCACAGTGGCTCATGCCTGTAATCCCAGCACTGTGGGAGGCCAAGGCAGGCGGATCACGAGGTCGGGAGTTTGGGACCAGCCTGATCAACGTGGTGAAACCCCATCTCTACTAAAAATACAAAAATTAGCCAGGCATGGTGGTGTGTGCCTGTAATTCCCAGCTACCCAGGAGGCTGAGACAGAAGAATCGCTTGAACCTGGGAGGTGGAGGTTATAGTGAGCTGAGATCGCGCCATTGCACTCCAGCCTGGGCGACAGAGCGAGACTTTATCTCAAAAAAAATAATAATAAAAATAAAAAAGATTTTAAAATATTTAAAAAACAACACTGATTCTCTGAGACATTTTGGGGACCACTCGTAGAATACTGTGACCTTAACAGTTCCATTGCCTGAGCTGTGGCAAGTCAGTACACTGATACCAAGGGTTGTAGCAGAGAAAGTTTAAATATCATAGGGCAGCAAAATGAAAAGATGGTAGGAAACCTCAAATCCTCCTCCTCAGAGAGTTTGGGGCTAGGGATTTTAAGGGGTTTGCAATGGGTTGAGGTGTGGGGATTGTTGATTGATGAAAGAATGTAGGGTGCAGTCATGGGACAGGGAAGTGATGAAACTGTATTTTATACTGATTTGATTTTTCTGTGGAGGTCTTTAAACTGGTTGGTGTCAGCTGCTTCACTGGAATTCCAAGCCTGATAAACGTCTTAAGCATTTTTAAACAAGTCTTTCATTCTAACATCAGTGGTCTTATCTTTAAGAATGATAGAGTAGATAGTTAGGCAAACAAGAGCAGGGCAAGAGCAGGGCAATTTGCCAGAAATGTCAGGTGACCATCAAGTGATGGTCAGGCAGTTGTTAAATTGTTTCTCTAAAATAATAATTGGTTGTAGCTGGTGTCAAGGAAAGGCAGTCTCCCAACAGACAGAAAACACCTGAAGCTGGTGATCAGCAGCTTCCCAGTACGATCTCAGGAGTTGGGTGAATGGGCTCAAGCATGTGCACTAAGAGGCAAAATGGCAGAGTTTAACCAGTATAAGACCTTCCCCTAGGAAGACTCGACTGATAAAGGAAAAACGCCTCAAGTGAGCATGTGCACAACTTCAGTAAATACACTGCATGTGGCCCCTCCCAAGTGTTGGCAGGCCACCGTGCATGTGGACAGCCCATCCCAAGGAAAAATTAAGGAAGAAGAAATGCAAACCCCAGACCCATGCCCAGGGCAAGGGTCAGACGGCACCCTTGGATTTCTCAAGTGGCCTACTTGGCCCTCTTCCAAGTGCACTTTTCTCCTTTTGTTCTTGCTCTAATATTTTTTAATAAACTTTCATTCCTGCTCAAAAACTTGTCTTGGTCTCTGACTCTGCATTATGCCGCTCAGCTGAATTCTTTCCCCTCGAGAAGTCGAGAATTGAGTTGCTGCAGACCCAGATGGGTTCTCCGCTGCTAACGGGAACAATGGGGATGTAAATCAATTCTTAAACTAAAGCCTTATGATTTTAACATCAGAAATCCCATCTATACAAACAATGGGAAGGTAAATTGTCAGTATCTAGTGTTACATGATTTTCAGTTATAAGGAAGTAGGCCAGAGTGCAGTCTGATTGATGTTTAATGATAATTATATTTTTTTCCAGAAGCTGGCATGTAATTCTCGTTAACTCCATGAGCAGAGTTTCAATACTGCCCTGACCAATGGGCAAAGATGATTCCCAGGTCTGTTGCAAATATCCAGAAATTAACTTTTGCTTTACACAGTTTTTTAATTTAAGTCTCATGTAACTGGTTCTGAGTAACAATGCTCTCTTCATTTATTTGGTTTTTACAAAGCAAGGCTGTGACAATTAGGCTTGTGACTTAGGCTTTACTGGATGGGGAACAACTGTCTTAGATTTTTAGCTCTGGGGCAAAAGAGAGTTTAGGGCCCAAGGGAAAACTTTTGGCCTCTGAAGTTTTGCAGAGAATCTAGTGACAAAAGGCAGATTAATAGGAGAAAAGGTATACAAATTTATTAACATGCACAGGAGTCTTACAAAATATAAGATCGCAAAGAAATGACCAGATGGTTGATGCTTTTATACCACCTTGAAGTTACAAAAAGAATGGGGGCTTGGAGTAGGGCCAAAAACATGTTATGGTTGGTAAATCAGTTGATAGTGGCAAGACAGCTCATCAGAGGGGGCCTGGCTAGCAAAGATGGCCTTGTTATACAGGTGAAATCCTCTAACAGGGAGCAATCTCTACAGGTAGCAATACTCTACACAGGTAGCAATCCTCTAAGAGAATAGATGGTAAATGTTTCTTTCAGACCTTTAAAGGTGTCAGACTTTTATTGAATCTTGCCTAGATCTAGACAAGGAAGGGTATCTGAAGAAGCCTGGCTGAATCAATGTGGATTAACTCTACAGATGCAAATCTCCCCCGAAAAGACAGCTTTTCAGTTATTCTTGTATTTCCAGCCCTTCTAAATAGCTATCTTAAAATATATCAAAGAAGTATATTTTGGGGTGAAATATTTTGGTTTCCTTCAAAAGAATGGGAAGTGAGATCCAAGATGAAGTAGAGAAAAATATAGAGCTAGGAGCAGAATGGAGCCATAAACCTTCCTGGCAGTGGCCCTGAAGCTGGAGGACTGCTGGGCTTTCAAAAGGGAAGGGGAAACTTGTGTTGGTTATTTTTGGGGAGCACCCCTGGAGCCTGGTCCTGAAGAAACAGCCTCATCCCATTACTCCCTGGAAGTGGTTGTAAACATTTACGGATCCTGAGCACTTTGAGCGCACGCGGGCAGGGTTTTCAGAAGCAGATTGTTCACTTGCCAGCACACCGCAGGTCACTCATAAACACGGTCTCCTTGGAAAACGTGCTGACTTCTATTTCATATCCCTCCTACCTCCCTTTGACTTTAGGAACTAGAGTTTCAAAGATTGCCAACCCCTCCTTCCAGGGGTGATACATATCAAAATGTTAGAGGGCTGCCCTGGTGTGATAGGCTTTTCCACAGGCAGCTCCCCTTTGAAGAAAAGGGTCTCCATCTTGTGTGCAGGGAAGTATTCCTGGCCCTGTGAAAGTGAACTCATTCATCACGAGGTAACCAAACTCCTGTGGAGTAGAAAATACGAAGCTGAATGACACACATCCAGCCACAGATGTACTAATTCAATTTCATGCCCCTACATCAGCTGCTCCTCTCCACTTAAAAGGAACATTTGCATCCATCTGTCATCATCTCTCCCTTTCATTTTAAAATCTCTTTGCTCTCTTTTCTTTCCCTTCACTCCTCCCCACTCCACCACAACTTGATGAAATAATGGGGCACATTTAAAATCCAAACTCAGGCAATTCAAATTCTGAACCAATGTGATTTTGTTCCATTCTAAGTCAACCTCGAAGGGTGTCTGGGGAGTAGAAATCAAGGGGCCAAACAAAAAAGCAAGTGAGGGAGAGAAGATTTTGAATGCAAATCAACCTCCTCAACTCATTTGAAACAACCTGCTGTGAACTGGGCTAGAACGTATGGCCCATTAGCACCTTGTTAGGCTGTCAGAGCCTGAGCAGCTGAACAGAGCGATAATGGGGAGGAAATGGCTGAGACCTTTCTGAGCCCAGCCCCAGCTCTTTGGCATTCTACCCTCCTCACTTCTGGGACCTGAGGGGCAGGGTCAGTAAAACAGTTGCTCAAGAGGAAAAGCAGGTAAAAGAGAACAACTTAATTAAATTTGCTAAATTTTTTAAAGCATCTTTCTAGTAAAAAGGAAGACAGAGTTTAATTTAAGTTTTCCATGGTGGGGGGCAATTGATTTTTTTTTTTTTTACATTTTGGTGGGGATCCCTTTGTGCTTGCTATCTCTTGCTTTATTCTACATTAGTTTGAGGTTTAGTAAAAACATTACAGGGATGTTGAAGACTGCATGGTAAAATCTCAGTGATTAAGTCTTAATTCCCGTAAGGTAAATCCTCAAATTAAAAAAACTCTGTGGTTAACAGGCCTATCTGTAGACATCCATTTGCAAATGTGTTTAAGAATGCAACACTTACTTGCTTAGGATTAGGAGAGGAAAAGCTTACTAGAATATGCCGGATCCCCTTCTTTCTCCAATGCTTTTGTCGAGAGCCCAGTCAGTGACGTTGTCTCTAACACTACAATATGTAGATTGCAGAGAGCTCACAGCTTTTGCTGATGGCAATATTTACTTCTTGATATTAAAGACATTAGATATTCCACTATTAGGCAATTGAAGTATTTTTTCTTTCTATCATAAAAATGCATAATTTAAAGGCCAGTTGCCGTGGCTCATGCCTGTAATCCCAGCACTTTGGGAGGCTGAGGCGGGCGGATCACAAGGTCAGGAGTTTGAGACCAGCCTGGCCAACATGGTGAAACCCCATCTCACTAAAAATACAAAAACATTAGCATGGATTACAGGCATGGTGGCGCATGCCTATAATCCCAGCTACTCGAGAGACTGAGGCAGGAGAATTGCTTGAACCCGGGAGGCAGAGGTTGCAGTGAGCCGAGATCCCACCACTGCACTCCAGCCTGGGCGACAGAGCGAGACTCCATCTCAAAAAAAAAAAGAAAAAAAAAACCACAATTTAGTATTAAATAAACCAGAAAAGACTTGCTGACTTTAATGACCCATTAGAGATGGTCATGGAGGGAAAAATAAAAAAGTCTGTTGCCAAGTTTTTGAGAAGAGATTCAACTGTGCTGGTAGTGCCTTTAAGGTCAGGCTTAATGAGCTTGGACCAACTTAGGGTCAATGACCTTACAAACTTAGGATTTGTGCACAGAAGAAAAACAATAACAACAACAATAACTACAGGAATTAGTGTGGACTTTGGGAAAAGGCAGTTGCTAGAGAACCCGCGGTTTCCCAAATGACTGACATTTTCAGGTGAAAGTTCTTTGAAAATATATTTAATTGATTGTGTTGTCAGAGAAATTTTAAGTGATTTTGTTTGGAGTAAGAGGATAGATTTCATGACCTCTTAAGGTCACTGGAATGCTTCCGTGCTGTCTTGTATGTTTAAGTACCAATAAAAGATAGATAATCCAAGGGTGTTTATTTTCGCTTTCATTTCAGCCTGGAAGCAGAGATGAGAGTTTACAATACTAGGATAATTCTTTCGTCTGTCCAGATTTTTTTCAAAAAGAGTAATAAATAACCATACTATACTTAATTTTATAAAAGTGCAAAGTCAGTCCAAAATTTTGCAAGTTTTAAAATAGTGCAACATAAGTGCTAAACGCTAGTAGTCTTGCTTTCATTCCTCAGGGAGATTTCTCCCACTTTTTTCTATAGGCTGGATCCCTGAACGCTAACTGACATCCTGCTTTTCTTAAGGGATATGGAAATTTCCCTGGGACAGCTGTGCTCTGCTGGCTAAGGAGCCCACAAGGTTAATGAACACCCACAAAGACTGAGGAGGATAGAGAGCATTCTTCACTGGATGATTAGCATGCCAGCATTCTTTCCTCTGTGGTAATGATGGTCAAGAAGGTGCCTGGTGATAGAAGGGAGAATGAAGGGTTGCTGCTTCTGCCTCAAACGCTTATTAAAATTCATTTCCATTCAAATAGCCATCCTCTGATTTTCATCATCAAATAAGCACACACTGTATATACTTAACAGGCAGGTGACCTGTGCGGAGTTCATGTCTTTTTGAAGCAAAAGTGTGTTCTCTTAATCAGTGTCCATGCTTATCTCTGTATGTAAATTTCTCCCCTCTCCTCTTACCCACTCCACTTTCCTGCTACCCCAGTTCTGGGATCTTTGATGGGCAGCCTAGATGCCTATTATAATGATAATTCATTTGGAACGAAATGAAATCTCCTCTTCCAGTCTAGCTCATTATAAAGGTGAAGCCCTTGAGAGGGCAGGCTGGGAATGAACAGGTTTACAGAGTTCTGTTTTCCTTTAAGGGGTAAAGGTAGGATGGGAGTGGTTTCCTTAGTTCTCTAGGCTTTGGGTTTCTCTCCCTTTGGAACTGGCCTCCATTCCTATGCTTGGTGACTGTCTTCTGGCTCCTGGGGACCACCATCAGCTGGAAGGCATTTCGGCTTAGGCAGTTCTACACCAAACAGCTGCTGGGAACAGCTGGGCCTGCTCTACTGTTGTCAGTGAGAAACCAACTGGTAAATGTGAGTGTGTTGGGCTTCCTTAAAGGTTTATTGTGCTCTGATAATTCAGAACAACACAAAGATATTGTCCTCACTTGTGGTGTACCAGGTAGACCCCAGTAAGGCTTATCTTAATTTTTTTAAACATAAGAGACATAAAAAATGTCTTTGAGGACTTTGAAAATTCCAGAAGACATGATCAAGAAGCATATCAATAATGTAAATGTATAAGCAGTGAGAGTTCTTTTTTGTTTTTGAGACGGAGTCTTGCTCTGTCGCCAGGCTGGAGTGCAGTGGCACAATCTCAGCTCACTGCAACCTCTGCCTCCTGGGTTCAAGTGATTCCCCTGCCTCAGCCGTCCGAGTAGCTGGGACTACAGGTATGCACCACCATGCCAGGCTAATTTTTTTTTTTTTTGTATTTTAGTAGAGATGGAGTTTCACCATATTGGCCATCGATCTCCTGACCTCCTGATCCACCCTCCTCAGCCTCCCACAGTGCTGGGATTACAGGTGTGAGCCACCGCACCTGGCCAAGAGTTCTATTAAACTCATGGCATGATTGCATTTTCTAGCATGATTTACGTTTGTAAATTATCTCAGTGTACTTAAAGAGCAGTCAGGGCAGGTTAACAAATAGCTTTTAAAAATTTTCTTTTTGTTTTGCTCTTACTTGCCTTTAATAATAATAATTTTTGAAAACGCTTTCAGGTCTAAAATAACCTAATTCAGTTTCGTGGGGGTTGAAAAATCATCACTACATCTGCGAAGAGTCCTTATGGAGAGTGTGAGGGGAGAAATTAATTTTGCAAAGCATATGCTTAAACAAAATATAAAATAAGTGAGACTTGGGGTAAAGCAAATAAAACATTTCTTGCTTAGGGTCTGGTTCTTGTGATTTATTTCTTATGCTGAAGCATATTGTGTCTCCTAATTTTAGAAATGATTACTCATAGGAAGTTCATTCTGATGAAGCAGTTTCCCTGTTTTTCAACAAAAAAAATTGGACAATTTCAGAAAGTTTGTCTCTTCTCGTCTTGTCTGTCTGGAGGAAAGAGCTGTCCCTAGGATTTTGCCACAGTTGCCATGAACTCATTTTTAACTCTCAGGAGCCCACATAATAATGTAGACACCAAATGACCTGACAATATCTGATTCCTTATTGCTCTGGCTACATTGCTTTTTTTTTTTTTTTAATGTAGGGTATGGCACTCACTCCCCACTGAACAATAAGAATAAAGTTGCACAGATGTAGAATTATTAGAGTAGCTGTTTCAGTTTTATCAATATCAAGGTTGGCAAACATTCCCCTTTCTTATCTGTAACAGAAACCAGCCAAGGCAATGTGAAGGATTCCAAGAGAGGCAATATGGATGAAACCATTTATTAGATTTATAAGAGCTGAAGGAAAGTGGTAAAGCTATCCATCTTCTATACTTTATTGAGAACAGGACCAATGACTCAGACTATCAGGACAGTATCTCCAAGACAGAATTGAAATCCTAAAGTAAGCAGAGAATAAGTGCATACATTTTAGGAGAAGAGGGATCAAAGGCAGAAGGAAGAAATGCACGTAAGCCTCCAAATACATTGAATACAAATCTGTCTGCAACAGTTATGCAGCTACATAACTTTATAAATAAAGACTTCATTTCAGAAGGCTTTAAAGATTTTTTCCTTAGTCCTTTCCTCTATTGGAAATCATAGCTCTGAAAGCCAGTGATAGCAGGCAAAATTAGTATTTGGGTCATGTGAGATGCATATGTATATGTGAATAAATAAAACTAAGGGTGATGTAAAGAACAAATAATACCATTTAATTGAGAAATGGCACATAGCAGCTCCCCGCTTTTGTCATGATGAAATTATCAACATCAGTCAAATTGGCTGAATAAAATCTTTTCTGTGTTTAAAAATATTCTGAGCACATGCAAGTTTTGAAAGTAGATAAATCTAAAAACATTTGCTTTAGAACTTTAAAATTTTGATAATTCAAGATTCTAACATGTTCCTCTAAGGGTTTCATGGGTTTTATTTCTTTTAGTTTAGACACCAATTTCAAAATCCCTTTTTTGACCTGCATGTCATCAAACAGAGCTGATTTCAGATCTCACTTTGCTATATTACAAGCTATGTGAAGTTTTATTTATCTTTTATTTAGCTCAATTTTTTTTCAGTTATAAAATGGAATAACAATAATCCATAGTGCAAAAATAAAATGAAGATGAAGTTAAAGGAGTCAGATCAGTGCTTAATAATGAATGTTGGCTATTATTATTATTATTATTTAGAAAAGGGGGTGATGGAGGGCAGAGGCTGCAGTGAGCCAAGATTGTGCCACTGCACTCCAGCCTGGGTGACAGAGCAAGACTTCATCTAAGAAAAAAAACAAAAGTGGGTGACAGAGCCCTGGCCCATTCTGGAAGACAGCTATCATAAAGCAAGAAGAGGGCTGTGGGCAAGGAATTCTCTGGGATATCTGGTCAGTGCAGAGAATTGAAGCTAAAATTTTAATTCTATTAAAAATACATTTACTGAGCACCTACTAGGTTCAAGTTGCATACTTTTTTTTTTTTTTTTTTTTTTTTGAGACGGAGTTTTGCTCTTGTTGCCCAGCTGGAGTGCAATGGCACAATCTCGGCTCACCGCAACCTCCGCCTCCTGGGTTCAAGCGATTCTCCTGTCTCAGCCTCCCTAGTAGCTGGGGCATGTGCCACCGCGCCTGGCTAATTTTGTATTTTTAGTAGAGCCAGGGTTTCTCCATATTGGTCAGGCTGGTCTCAAACACCTGACCTCAGGTGATCCGCCTGCCTCAGCCTCCCAAAGTGCTGGGATTACAGGCGTGAGCCACCATGCCTGGTCTCAGGTTGCACACTTACTAATCTCCTGTAGACTGTATTCAAGTAATGGAAATAAAATACCTACATAACTTTCTTTGCTCCAAGTCAGAATAATGTAAGTGCCACAAGGAAGGCACACACACAGCACTATGGGAATTTAAAGGAGAGACATGCCATTGCTGGGGTTCAGAAAATGATACCCTAACATGAAGACCCCAGAAGAAAAGTCTCTCTCTGCCCTTCTCCTGACCTCTTGTCTCTCACGCATTATTCTCCCCTGAGGCTAGCCACAGAAACTAGAATTCCTCTTCCTCAAGGCGGTTCATAGAAACCAGGACTCCTTTTCCCTAAAGAAAGCGATAAAGCTTAAAAATATTACTCTAACTTTCCCCCATCTTTCTGTGAAACAGCTAGCTGTAAAAAAAATCACCCTCATTCCAGAGGAATCTACTCCATCCCTAGGGGGAAGAAATGCTACAACAGGGAGATCAAGAAGAATCTAAACAGGCAGGCCTTGCTGAGGTTTCCCCGCTCAGTCTGTTACTACTAGAGCTTACCCTTTTTATCTCATCACATTTCTACATGGTTGTTCCAGCTTCGTTAAACCTAGGCATATCATCAGATAGCTTCAACTGTATCTTTGAGTCTTCATTCTGAAGACTCCCATGTCATATAAAACTGTTATTGAGCATATCTGTTATGCTTTTCTCTTGTTAACCTGTCTTTGTTATAGGGGTGTCAGCTGTGACCCTCGAAGGAAAGGGATCACCCTCTTTCTGACCCTATACCACCTTCAGCAGGGATGAAGGCAGTCAGAGAAAACTTAGTTAAAAAGTAAGTGAAGATGCTTTATTTAAGGATTAATATAACTTTAAAAGGCAGAAGTCAGAAATGTTTATTTATTTAACAAATATGTATTGAATATTTGCCAGATACTCATTTATGTAGTAGAGATTCAGCAGTGAGCAAAGCAGATGAATTACTTTACTTGCTGGAACCAGGAACATTTGAATAAATGTTCTTTGATTTTTAGAAAAAAATCTAAACTTTATGATAAAAAGTAAGAGTGATCTATTAATAAATATCTTAAAGTCACAATGCCTCACTTACCTCTATCCAACAAGCGTAAAATTGTAATCCATTCCTCAAAATTGGAAAATTAGAGACAAAATTTTATAGATAGACATAAAGTGATTAAATCTTAAAAAGTGTACTCTTCATTCTGTTTCCTTGACTCATCTTCATATTCATTAAGTTTTTCTATTTGACATAAAGTAATAATTTTCTCTCTATATTTATATCTTTCTCTACATCTCTTGATATAAATTTCCTCAAGAACAGTGTATCCAAGCTAATTTCTTTCATAAATAAGAGTCTACATTTTATCTTCTAACATGTCCGCTTGGCACATTTCAGATTCTGCCCTTTTATTTCTACTTTGAGTTTACAGCATGGCACTCCTGAACATTCTCTTCACAGTTCTCAGAACAGTTTATGTGAAGGAAATGCATTCAGTTATAAAATAGGGCCCAATGATGCTGGTGGGTGCTCTATCAATCTCCCTGAAGGAACAAGGAAGAAACCTAATGTTGATGGATCCTGTCACTCTGCCCCTAAAATGCAAAATTATTGAATTAAGGAAAACATAATTATTAGCAAATATGGTGACACAGTGATTTTTAATAGTACTGTATTTTGTTTATTAGACAGGCACATTTGTCCCTGGTCAGCCTGAAGGCATCAAGTGTCCTAGGCAATATCCATCTTCATTGAGTTTTGAAATCCCAGCAGTATGAACAAACCAGATGGCCCCCCAAAATGAAAATGAATGCATATAACTGTCATTCAAAACTCAATAGCCCATGTTGCCATATGCGATGAGGAGTTTGCTGCTTGTGCAAGAGGGGTAGTAGTGTGTTTCTGTCCGTGGTCCTGAAAAGCTTGCCTTGACTTCAGATGCGGGAAAGCCATTAATGAAGACAGTAGTAAATATTAGAAAAGCACATTTAAAAGTAGATTTCTGACTTAGCACTGTTTCTCAGAGATACATGTGCTTCAATTATAACTATTTTTTCACAGTGCTGATTTACTAATAGTCTTTTTAAAAACAATCAGTCTCCCTTTCTCTCTCTCTCTTTCTCCACCTTGGGTCATAGGAAGAAAATGTCAGAGTTTGTAGGGAAGAAAGGAGCATGTATTTATTAAAGGCAGATGGTTGAACTGAAACTAGAGTTTGTCGCTTCCCATTATAAAATTATATTTCAAAGGTTTTACAACTCAACCATAAAAAAATACTGTTGGATAAAACTTAGGAAAGAAATGACTCTTTGCAGGCTAACTAATTAAGGGAAAGTTCTGTAACCTACAAGTTATACTCATGGAAAATAAAGCAGTACTGAACTGTAAGTGCCTAAGAATCTGCCACCCATTGTGTGAATTATAATTTGAAAATCGATAACTAAGTAGTGTATTTAAGACTTCTACCCCCAGAGTTGTACAACGCTAACCAATTAGGTTTTGTATTCAGGGAAAAACATTGATAGTACTGCCAAGAAATGGCTGAGATGTTGAAGTTCATGAGCCAGCTGTTATGCATCTGTTCTACTTTTTACCAATATCATTATGAGGAAGAGGTTTAGTGAGTTGGCAAGAAAATCTAATGCCTGATGCTTTTGAAATCATTAAATAAGATGACATTACTTAATCTTACATCAGGGCCACCTGAGCCCTTTCAGAATAGGTACAGGAATTTCTCTAAATAATGACATTTAAAAGTAGGAAGTAGGGCACATCCAGATTCAAGACATCTAATCTTTTACCATAAAGTGATTCATATATCTCTAGCTTATCAGAAAAATAGGGAAAAAAGAACTCCGAACTCTTTTTCCTGGAGTAGTAAAAAAAATAAAGCCTGGAATTCTAATGTGAGACATGTTTGAAACTTGCATTTCAGAAATCAATAACCATGAATATATTTGTCCTAAAAATTACTGGTATTTAATTTTATGGTAAATTATTTCAGCTGTGACTATTCAGATAAAAGAAAGCAACATAGAAATGATGACTATATGAGAGTGCTTCGGTAATTCTTGTGAATGAGTTAATTTATTTAATGTTATACCTTGAGCCATTGCACTGCAGCCTTGGTGACAGAGCGAGACCCTATCTAAAAAAAAAAAAAAAAGTTACACATTGAGCACTTTGAACAATGAATGGCACATAGCAAGCCCTTCTACTACAAATGTGTTTTGTTGTTGCTGATGTTGTTTACTTTATTGTTGTCATTACAAGAGATGGGGTGAAAAGCTTATCTTCTAGGTAAGGAAACCAATTTATCAGTTAAATATAAGTACCAGTGGTGCTTGGGTGATCCTTTTCCTTTTTCTTCCTTCTCTTCATATCCATCCCATTACCTTACCTCAGTATGTGGTTTCTTGTCCTGATAATCTTGGGTTAAATTACTATAGATGAAATAAAAGCTAATTGTGAAAAAGCACAAAGATCTCCTTGGATGATCTAATAGTGATGAAAATGTTTTTGATGCAAATAATAAAAATACATTAAAAGGATAGTCAGGCTTTTATTCTAGAATCCAAAGGATAAAATAACAGCCTTAGTTTCCTCATATAAAAATGAAAACCATAAGGGCTGGGCGCAGTGGCTCACGCCTGTAATCCAAGCACTTTGGGAGGCCTAGGAGGGCAGATCACGAGGTCAGGAGATCGAGACCATCCTGGCTAACACAGTGAAACCCCATCTCTACTAAAAATACAAAAAATTAGCCAGGTGTGGTGGCACATGCCTGCAGTCCTAGCTACTCAGGAGGCTGAGGCAGGAGAATGGCATGAACCCAGGAGGAGGAGCTTGCAGTGAGCTGAGATCGCACCACTGGACTCCAGCCCGGGCAACAGAGTGAGTCTCTGTCTCAAAAAAAAAAAAAAAAAAAAAAAGAGACTGTAAGACATCTCATAGAATATAAGGAGGATTAAATTAAATATTTGCAAAGTAATTAGGGCAATGCTTGGCACTGGTGTCTAGGTGTTTTAAAAAAAAAATACTTACTTTGAACTTTGGTTCTCATTTGAGTTCCTGTTTTTCTCAGTTGAACCAGAGTGGGCATGGAGATCTTAGAGAGTCTTAAATTGTTCTGGAAGCAGAGAGTAAAGCACTGCTTCAGGAAATTCTGAGGTGATAAAATTAACTCAGTGTTCGAGACCCAGGGAGCTCTCATGCCAGGTGACAGAGCTAAACTCTTTCTCAAAAAAAAAAAAAAAAAAAAAAAAGAAATCATCTTATATTCTTCTGAACATTCTCCAGAACTTGCTTGTGGAGAGAAGAGGATGCAAATCCTATTTATTTTAGTGCTTCAAAAATTCACTTGTATTGCTAAGTTGTTTGAATAGTCAACTGTTGAATCTTTGGCTACCCTTGTATGTAGAGTAAGAAGATAATTGCTCTGATCCCAGGGTGAACCATCTGCTAGTACAAATTGCTCTGCTATCTGCTTCATTGAGACACTTGTGTTCGTTATATTATGTTGAAATGTTCATGAAACGTGGTTTATACTAAGCTGTGTTCCTGGAAAATTTGATTCTGTAAATGGGTAGAACACTCTTAATTGCAAAGACTCTTTTCTCTCCTTAGATTTCTAAACTGCTTTGCTGATTTGATCTGGGGCCCTGGAGTGCCAACATCCTGTGATAGCGGCTGATTGTTGATGCCTGGGAGGATACAGCAGTGACGATCCAAATTTACAAGACTCAACATGGTTTTCAAAACTTCCTTTTAAAAAAGATGTTCCTGAGTTCTGGAATCTGAACAAAATATGTCTGGTTATTATATAATTCTAATGGTCCTTGTGGATGCTACCATTAGAGTTCAGTTAGTGTCTCATCTATCACTGTAATATTTGTATTGTAACACTAATCGTGGCAAAGTATGATTTGATAAATGCTCATTCTCAAATCTTTTATTTTAGTGTGTTCATGTAAGATTAATGACCATGATGACTTGAGATAGAATTTTTTGATTTGTTGCTTTCTTTGTGTCTTCCAATATCACACAGATTTGCAAAGATATCTATGGCACAAGGGGAGAAAATAATAACTTAACTAGAGGATAGGAGTAAGGCCTTCTATTAACAAGACACTGTTGACATTTCTAGGTAGATTTCAGAATTCTCCAGGCATGCCTGGTAGAAATTTTAGAAATAAAAGCCAGGAAAGAAAGGCAGAAAGACTATGTTGGGACATTAGCAATTTCTTCCTACCACAATATTTCTTTATTCACTGTAAGTAAATCTAATGCTAATTTATTTATCTGTCTATCCTTTGAATTACAATTTAAAATGTCATAAAACAAAGATTCAGATAAGATAGCTGATTTGCTCATATTGAACGTCACATTGATTTTCACCATCTGAGGCCCATTGACATCGTATGGATATTAGAGAACCTGGAATCACCAAGATGGGGTTCTCCCACTGTTGTCTTCATGATCCATGATCATTTGTACACAGTAAATATTTATTTGAGTACAATGACTTTACAAATGATACATGCAGATTCTGTATACAAGGCTGAGAGTGAGTAGACCCAATTTCAAACAAAAGGTTATATATGTGACCAGTGAGAGTTTTCTATCATTCTCTAGGAGGCTAGACTAGGCAGAGTGCAATTTAGGCCCCTGTGTGGTAAGGTGAGTTTTAAAATTCCTCCTTTATTTTCTCACTTGTTTTGGACAGCCAGGACCCAAAACAAAGCTATTTATTTGAAACCTCTCTCCTCTCTCTCTTCTTCCTCTTTCATCAATTTGATTCCCTTTTTATTATCATTATTTATGTTTTGTATAACTAGAAAAATAATTTGTCATGGATTACATCTTATTTGCAAGAGGCTCTAGTAAGATGGCAACAAGGCATGCACAATATATCATAATTTAGCAGCTTCTCTTGTAACTATACTAAACTAGTGGTGGAAGAAAATACATATAAACAACTCCGACAACAGATTTTGAATGATCCAGTAACTTTGATTTATATTTGGTATTTGATGGAACTGTATTAGCAGTTAAAGCCAATGGCTAAATGATTCCCAACACAAAATGAGTCAGAAGTACAAAAGAAGCTTTACAATGCACAATAGAGAGCTCTGAGCCTCCCAGCTTAAATTTCCAAATTGCAGTGTAAATTACAGGACTGCTTGTCAATTTTAACTAACAGTTCTACCCAATAGGGTCTAGCTAGGTAATTCATCCATTATTCCTTTATGAAACAGTAAACACCAGCTAAATTCCATTGGCTTTTCTAAATAAAATTGCCTCATCTCTCATATCTACTGCAGAGAAGGAGTGAATCAACCTCTGACGACAGTAAGTCCCACACAACAAACAACATGTGAAACCTGGAATTAGTTAAAAATGCTTTCCATATTTGTTAATAGAATTGGGTGCCAATCATCTTGAGATGATCTCAACCTTCCCAAGTTCTTTTGGTGGAAGGACTCTCACATTCTTCTATTTCCCCTCCTTACCCTATATTTTCTCTCATCCCCAAATAACTATTTTCTCTTCACTTGTTTCCTCTATGGCTTTCCCTGTCACAAAGAAGAAATGAATGAAAGATTTGGAAGTCAAAATCTAGCACTCCAATTACCAACATTAGCAGGAAGAGAAGAATGTTCCAAATATCAACAAGAATCTCAAATCTAACCAAGCAAAATATGCAATTATGTAGGCAGATGCTGGCTCATCAGCCACTGATATAGACTGATTTCTACCACTTCATTAATTTGACTTTCTTACTCTGGGCAATTTGATCATACCCATACAGCATATTTCTTAGCCAGAAATAGATTTGATTGTTCTAGGCCAGGTGGGAAAGCCAATAGATTTGCACAAATGCTTCACAGGGCATCTGTATTATAGCAGGGATGTGGGAAGTTTTATTGTAGAGTTTGGAAGTGGACTGCTGAATTCTCTTCCTTTAACCTAATCATGTCATTCACGTGTGGAGCATAGTCAGTCTTTACATGTATCTATTGGTCTTTATTGTTCAATTTTTTTTTTTTTTTTTGAGATGGAATCTTGCTCTGTCACCCAGGCTGGAGTGCAGTGGCATGATCTCAGCTCACTGCAAATTCCACCCACCAGATTCAAGTGATTCTCATGCCTTATCCTCTTGAGTAGTTGAGATTACAGGTGCATATTGTCACACCTGGCTAATTTTCGTATTTTTAGTAGAGACGAGGTTTTGCCATGTTGGCCATGCTAGTCTGAAACTCCTGAACTCAAGTGATCCACCTGCCTCAGCCTCCCAAAGTGTTGGGATTACAGGCATGAGCCACTGCAAAAAGCTTATTGCTCTATTTTGAATCAAAGGACACAATCTCTAATATTATCTTTCATTTAAAAAGAATTTTTGTAATCATCTTTTATTCACTTAGTAAATATTATCAAATATTTACTGAGCTTCTACTTTTGCTAAGCATTATAATGAGAATTAGAGATGTAAAAATGAACACTGCTTGGTCACTGTCTTTGCAGAACTCAAGGTCTGATGGGAAAGATAGACATGTAGATAGACTATTAGAATCACAATAATTACAATAATATGTACAAACAATAGACATAAGAACCAAGCAGTCTAGGAGCATTAAAGAGAGAGCAACTAACTGGGAGAGTTCGAAAGGGTTACAAGAACAAGTGGTACTTGAACATATTTCTAAAAGAGGCCTAGGAATTTGCAACTTTTAGTAGGGAGTTTCTGTGGTGGTGAGGGTCTGTGTGACCACTACTCAATCAGGAAAATTTTATTGCTCAATAATAGTGTTTTCAGCATTGTGCTAGGTAAATTCATTATACTAACACAACTGCGTTATTTACCACCTGATCTTCTAGCCAGATATCTCCTCCAGCATGGAAAAGAAGGGATAGAGTTGTGGGGCAGGGAAGAGAAAACTTTGAGGTTCATTACCTAAAGGTCATTTGGAGAACAAGATGAATGTGACGCAGCTCCTCTTTGGGAGTGCATCTACTAAGGTGCCAAAATGCTGCCATTTAAGAAGACACTAGCAGAGTTTTACTCTTTAATTTCTCTGCTCATTAAGCCTTCACTTCTGAGGTGTGAAAATGACTTCAGGCTGGTAATAAACTGCTGGAGAAGTCATTATTTTAAAAATGATCTTGCTCCCAAAGGGGATGAAGTGGTACAAAGCACAATTGCTCCAAGATCAGCTCCTTTGTAGGACAATGATTGTTCAAATGTTTCAGTTATCATAAGAATAAAAAAGGGCTGTCTGTTACAGCAAGAAAAGATGAAGCACAAAGTACCCAGACCCACTCAATAATCACATCAGTCTACTTTTCGGAGAGAGGAGATGTTGTTATATTTCAATGGGGGAAAATTATAGTACACTGTATTGTTAGCCTGTGTATTATAATGCAAAGAAAACGGAAGAGGTACAGAAATGATCAAAGAAGACAAAAGTGATTTTCAGGGAGTTTTGTGATGCTAAAGAAGAGACCTGGAATAAGTTGGAATAACAATCATGTTATTAATAATAATAACAAAGTCCTCCTGAAGCAGTAAATGGCACTTAACATTACTCTTGTGAGAACTTAGTCCTGTGTAGGCAGAACATCTTCAGTTTTGCCTTTTTTCACATGGTGCTCATTTTGCCTCCAAATTAGCTACAGGGAAGAAAAGCTTCTCTTGACCAATAGTTTCCTAAGGCAGTGAGTCCCAGGCCTTGAACATGTTAACTTTCTGTATTTTCTGTCCCTCCCTCCTTTCCTTTCTTTTTCCCTTCCTTTTCTTTCTTCCTTTTTTTTCTTCCAGTTGTTTGGATTAAGGCAATTGATTTTGAGGAATTTTTGAGCATGCTGTAGAACCTAGTGAGACAATCAAAGAGCCCCTGTGTTGTTGCCTAAATGGGGATGGTGGGAGGTATAGAGCGAAAACTGATTGATTGGATGTGGAAAAAAATGTTATTGTAAGGATTCTGCTTTTCATCCACCGTTTTTAAAGCCTTTGAGCAATCAGCCCCCTCTGCTTTTATCAACTAAGGGGCATGATTAAAGGGAAACTGAAGTTGCTGTTTGGTGATGCAGGAATATCATTTCTCTTCAGGAGGCAATCTTTTCTCTGAGGGCAGGAATTCACTCAGTTACCACACCTCTGACCCAGAGCCAATGGGCTTCTGAGGGGGAGAAGGCTTTTCTCCTAAAGTTGCTAAATATTTTCCTCCACAACAATTTGGTCATCATGTCCTCATTGCAGAATCACTTTACCTCCCAAGACCCATTATCAGGTTTCCTTCAACCACAAGGTATATTGAGTTTTTTGAACATATAGCAGATGTTTCTCAAGGCATAAAATGACTAATTGCTCTTTGAGTATCTACTCAGGGATTCTATGGTCCATGAAACAATGACAAGTAGTATCTTATAGCTCTTATCTTCTAAGACTCTTTGTATTATATGGACAATTTCTGGGTGATAAGTTGTTCTTCAGCCCTTTGATAGTCAATACAGTCCCACCTGGAAACTAATGAGGAGACTGAACGTCGTGGATCTAAACACAAAGCCTTATGCACAGTGAAGAAAACAATCAACAGAGTGAAAAGGCAATCTAAGAAATGGGAGAAAAGATTTGCAAACTATGTATCTAAAAAGGGGTTAATATCCAAAATATATAAGAAACTTCTAGAACTCAATAGCAAACAAACAAAAAAAATTTAGGCTGGGCATGGTGGCTCACGCCTGTAATCCCAGCACTTTGGGAGGCCGAGGTGGGTGGATCACAAGGTCAGGAGATCAAGACCATCCTGGCCAACATGGTGAAACCCCATCTCTACTAAAATACAAGAAATTAGCTGGGCGTGGTAGTGCATGCATGTAGTCCCAGCTACTCCGGAGGCTGAGGCAGGGGAATCACTTAAACCCAGGAGGCGGAGATTGCAGTGAGCCAAGATCGCGCCACTGCACTCCAGCCTGGCAACAGAGCAAGACTCTGTCGCAAAAAAAAAAAAAAAAAAAAAAAAAAATTTAATGGGCAAAGGACTTGAGTGAAGGGGTGGGTTGCCCCTCCACACCTTTGGGTGTTTCTCGTAAGGTGGAACGAGAGACTTGGAAAAGAAAAAGACACAGAGACAAAGTATAGAGAAAGAAATAAGGGGACCCGGGGAACCAGCGTTCAGCATATGGAAGATCCCGCCAGCCTCTGAGTTCCCTTAGTATTTATTGATCATTCGTGGGTGTTTCTCCGAGAGGGGGATGTGTCAGGGTCACAAGACAATAGTGGGGAGAGGGTCAGCAGACAAACACGTGAACAAAGGTCTTTGCATCATAGACAAGGTAAAGGATTAAGTGCTGTGCTTTTAGATATGCATACACATAAACATCTCAATGCTTTACAAAGCAGTATTGCTGCCCGCATGTCCCACCTCCAGCCCTAAGGCGGTTTTTCGCTATCTCAGTAGATGGACCGTACAATCGGGTTTTATACCGAGACATTCCATTGCCCAGGGACGGGCAGGAGACAGATGCCTTCCTGGGCAGGAGACAGATGCCTTCCTCTTGTCTCAACTGCAAGAGGCATGCCTTCCTCTTATACTAATCCTCCTCAGCACAGACCCTTTACGGGTGTCGGGCTGGGGGACGGTCAGGTCTTTCCCTTCCCACGAGGCCATATTTCAGACTATCACATGGGGAGAAACCTTGGACAATACCTGGCTTTCCTAGGCAGAGGTCCCTGCGGCCTTCCGCAGTGTTTGTGTCCCTGGGTACTTGAGATTAGGGAGTGGTGATGACTCTTAAGGAGCGTGCTGCCTTCAAGCATCTGTTTAACAAAGCACATCTTGCACCGCCCTTAATCCATTTAACCCTGAGTTGACACAGCACATGTTTCAGAGAGCACGGGGTTGGGGGTAAGGTCACAGAATCTCAAGGCAGAAGAATTTTTCTTAGTACATAACAAAATGGAGTCTCCCATGTCTACTTCTTTCTACACAGACAGAGTGACAATCTGATCTCTCTTGCTTTTCCCCACACTTGAGTATATATTCCTCCAAAGAAGACATAGAAATGGCCAACAGGTATATAAAAAGATGCTCAGTATCATTAATCATCAGAAAAATACAAATCAAAATCACAATGAGATATCATCTTGTGTTAGGATCGCTATTAAAAAAAAACAAAAATAAACAGAGAATAACGCGTGTTGGCAAGGATGTGAAACAATTGGAACCCTTGTACATTGTTGGTAAGAATGTAAAATGGTGCAACCTTTATGAAAAACAGCATTAAGTTTCCTCAAAAAATTAAAAATATAACTATAATATCCAATAATCCTACTTCTGGGTATTTATCTCAACTAATTGAAATCAAGATCTTAAAGAGATATTGGCATTCCCGTGTTCACTGCAGCATTATTCACAATAGCCAAAATGTGGAAGCAACCTAAATGCCCATCAACACATGAATGGATAAAGAAAATGTAATATACACTACACTAGAATATTACTCAGCCATAAAAATAAAGAAATCTTGCGATATGTAGCAACATGAATGAATTTTGAGGACAATATGGTAAGTGAAATAAACTAGTCACAGAAGAACAAATACTTCATGATTCTACTTATATGAGATATTTAAAGTTGTTAAAGTCATAGAAGCAAAGTAGAATGGTGGCTTATAGGGGTAGAGAAAGAGGGAAATGGGGAGCTGCTGTGCAGCATGTATAAAGTTTCAGTTATGCGACATGAAAATAGTCTACAAATCTGTTATATATGGCATTGTGCTGGTAGTTGACAATAATGTACTGTACACATAAAAAAGTGTTAAGAGGGTAGATCTCCTGAGTGTGTGTGTCTTTACTACAATTAAAAAATGCATTAAAAATAGAACACAAAAAAGAAGGAAGAAAACATGGTGACTTTAACTAGATTGAGATAGAGCGTTCCCATATTTTTTAGCCCATATTGATGAGTAAGTCTTTTCTATTGCCTAGGATATTTGGCTAATAGAAACTGTAAAGCTTAATGGAGGAGCTCCAAGAGCTGGTATCATCCCAATTCCAATCCCTACCAAACCAACACCTCCCCTTCTACTTCCACCTCTACAACCACCACCACCTCTACTACTATCACCTCCACCTTCACCAACGCCACCTCCACCTCCATTGCCTTCACCTCCCACCTGCACCACATCCACCAACACCACTTCTACTTCCACATCCAACTCCACCACCACCACCTTCACTTCTACTACCACCACCTCCACCACCACTGCTACGTTACTACTTCCATCTCTATCTCCACAAGCACAACTACTTTATTAAGATCAGTAAATGAGTAGGCAATGAAATTTGCCATTTCTACCTCCATCCCAATCTCCACAAGCACAACTACTTTATTAATTTAAGGCCATTATATGAGTAGGCAATGATGTATTCCAATGAGGCATTTATGAGTCTGCCTACCCTCTAGTACCTTTTATGTTGCGTACCTCATCTGATCATTTATTTTTAATTTAAAACTAGTGCTTAATTTATAAAAGAATGTGACTTTCATCTTGTTTAAGATTTGGAAAATAGGATATAAGCAGTAAAAATTCTCTCCCATACCTGCCCTCTAATCACCTTCACCACCCCAATCTTCCTCACTGAAAGCAACTTAAGACTGCCTCCTCTGTCTTCTTATATATATTTTAAATTAAATTTCAGCTCTTACTTATATTAATGATTTCCTTCTATGTTATTTGGGTTTATTTCGGTGGTTTGTTTTTTTTTTTTTTAGACGGAGTCTCTTTCTGTCCCCAGGCTGAAGTGCAGTGGCATGATCTCAGCTTCACTGCAACCTCCGACTCCCTTGTTCAAGCAATTCTCCTGCCTCAGCCTCCCGAGTAGCTGGGATTACAGGCACGCACCACCGTGCCCAGCTAATTTGTGTATTTTTAGTAGAGACGGAGTTTCACCATGTTGGCCAGGATGGTCTCAGTCTCCTGACCTCATGATCCACCCTCCTCGGCCTCCCAAAGTGCTGGGATTAGAGGTGTGAGCCACAGCACCCAGCAAGTTTTCTTTTTGTGATTGATTTTTAGATTAATCACATTGTTGCCAGAGAACATATTGTATAAAGTTTATTTCTTTAAGACTAATTAATGCTTTTTATGTTCCAGTAGACAATGATTTTTTAAATGTTGTATATATTCTGTAGCTATTGGTTAGAGTCTTGTACATGTATCTATAACCTTAATTTTGTCAATTTTGTTGTTCAAATATTCTATTTCTTTACTATTTTTTTCCTATTTTATTGATTTCTTGTTATTGTAAAGTTTTGCTTTATATATTTGAAGGCCATGTCATTAGGTGCATGTAAATGTAAAATTGTTATTTTTTCCTGCTTAAGTTTAGCTTTTATTAAAGTATTCCTCCTTATCTCAATTATTTTATCTAAAAGTCCATTTTCACAGATATCTAACATAGCTACATGAGCTTTCTTTTGTTCAAAGTTCCTAATAATTTTTAAAAACTACTCTGTATTTTTAAGGTTTAGATGTTTCTTTTAAATAATGTATAGCACTATACTTTTTGAAAATAGCCTTTTATTAAAATATTCTGTCCATTTATACCTAATATAATTACTGGAACATTTGGGTTTAAATCCAGCATCTTATTTTCTTCTTTGTGCTTTGTGTTGGCTCTAGCTATTCTATGTTCATTTTTTTCCTTTCTTGCTAAGTTTTAGATTGATAAACTTTGATCATTGCATTTTTTTCCTACAAGTTTAGATGTTAAAAACATAGTTTCAATTTTTTTAGTAGGGACCTTAGAATTTACAACATACATATTAGTTAAGTCTAAAATTAATTAAGGATGGGCACCATGACTCACGCCTGTAATCCCAACATTTCGGGAGGCTGAGGCAGGTGGATCATGTGAGGCCAGGAGTTCATGACCAGCCTGGCAAACATGGCGAAACCTCATCTCTACTAAAAATACAAAATTAGCCAGGCATGGTGGCGCTTGCCTGTAATCCCAGCTACTTGGGAGGCTGAGGCAGGAGAATTGCTTGAATCTAGGAAGTGGAGGTTGCAGTGAGCTGAGACTGTGCCATTGCACTCCAGCCTGGGCAACAAGAGCAAAACTCCGTCACAAAATAAATAAATAAATAAATTAATTAATATGTTGCTGTCAAGTATTTTAATACTGTCATAAAACACTCCACTAGACAGTATTTTTACTGTTTTATACATCATTTTCAAATGTATTTATCCACATATTTACCAGTTTATTTTTCTTCCTTTTTACATCTCAGATTTCTTTTGTTTTGTTTTGTTTTTTGGAGACAGAGTCTCACTCTGTGGCCCAGGCTGGAGTGCAGTGGCACTATCTCAGCTCACCGCACCCTCCACCTCTCAGGTTCAAGCAATTCTCCTGCCTCAGCCTCCCAAGCAGCTGGGATTACAGGCGCGTGCCACCCACCACGCCCGGCTAATTTTTGTATTTTTAGTAGAGATGGGGTTTCACCATGCTGGCCAGGCTGGTTTTGAACTCCTGACTTCAGGTGATCCACCTGCCTTGGCCTCCCAAAGTGCTGGGATTATAGGCATGAGTCACTGCGCCTGGCCACATCTCAGATTTCTATATAGTATCCCTTTTTATATCTTCCCTATGTGCTATGTGGGATCATTTTCCTTTAGGGAGTTTGCAATTTATATTTTCCAGAACATGTATTTATTTTTCTCTCATTCTTAGAAGATATTTTTGCTAGGTGGAGAATTTTAGTCTGGTAGTTACTTAGTCTGGCACATGGAAGAATTCATTCCACAGATTTCTACCTTTCATTGTTGCTGTTGAGAATTTTACTTCTTGATCTTACTGTCAACTTCAAAGGCATGTTGTGAAAGATTACCATTTTTCTTTTTAAAGTTGCCATTTTCTCTTTTTAAAAGTTTTATCATAAAATCTTTTAATAGATATGAAAATAGGAAGGTAATATAATAAACTATGTACCATCAACCATGTACCATGTGCCGAACATCCGTCTTTGATAATTACTAACTCATGTCAGTCATGTTTCATCTACAGCCTTACCACAGATTCCTCTGCTTTTTTTTTTGCAATTTATTTGTTGAAGAAATGAGTTGTTTGTCCTATGAAGTTGTGAACCTCTGGATCTTGCTGGTTTGGTTGTTTATATAGTTTATTATGTACATTTAATATATTTCTCCCTCCTTTGTATTTCTTGGAAATTGGTCTGACTGCTTTTAATATTTTCTCTTTTCCTGTGGTTTTCTGCAGTTTCACAATTATATGTGCCATATAGTTTTTTAAAAATGTATTTTGCAAAGAGTTTGTAGGGCATTTTAATTATATGGATTGGTGTTTTCCTTAATTCTAGATGATTCTCAAATATTTTATTTTTAAAAAACTTTTTTTTAGTGGCTGCCCTTGAGTTTGCGGTATATACTTACAATTATTTCAAGTCCTCTTTCAAATATTTTTATACTACTTCACAAGCAGTGCAAGTACTATATAACAGAGTACTCCCAATTCTTCTCTCTCATCCTTTCTAACATTGCTGTCATTCATTTCGCTAATCTATCTATAAGCTATAATCACCGAAAACATGTTGCTATTATTATTTTGAACAAACTATTCTCTTTTAATCAATTAAAAATAAGAATAAAATATTTCATTTTACCTTTATTTCTTCTCTAACATTCTTTCTTCATGTAAATCCAAATTTTTGACCTATATCATTTTATCATTTTCCTTCTGTCTGTAGAATTTATTGTAACATTTCTTGCATTTAAGTCTGCTGATGACAAATTCCCTTAATTTCTGTTTGTATTAGAAAATATTTATTCCGACTGGGCACAGTGCCTTACGCCCGTAACCCCATCACTTTGGGAGGCTGAGGCAGGCGGATCACCTGAGGTCAGGAGTCCGAGACCAACCCAGCCAACATGGTGAAACCCTGTCTCCACTAAAAATACAGAATTAGTCGGGTGTGGTGGTGTGCGCCTGTAATCCCAGCTACTCCAGAGGCTGAGGCAGGGGAATCGCTTGAACCTGGGAGGCGGAGGTTGCAGTAAGCTGAGATCATGTGACTGCACTCCAGTCTGGGCAACAGAGCAAGACTCTGTCTCAAAAAAGGAGAGAAGAGGAGAGGAGAGGAGAGGAGGGGAGGGGAGGGGAGGGGAAGGGAGGGGAGGGGAGAGGAGCGGATTTATTCCTTCTTCATATTGAAGAAAATATTTGCTCTATTCAGGATTCTATGTTGATGTTGGTTTTTTTTCTTTCAATGCTTTATTCTAAATTTCTCTCCATTTTCTTTTTGCTTGCATGGTTTCCAACAAGCCTCTTCTATAGATAAGGTTGTTTTTTCCCTCATCCTTCCCTTATGGATTCTTTCAAGATTTTTATCTGTCCTTGACTTTCTATAGTTTGAATATGATATGCCTAGGTATAATGAATATGATATGCCTAGGTATATCATGTTTGGTGTGCTCTAAACTTCCTGGATCAGTGGTTTGTTGTCTATTATCAATTTTGGGATATTCTTATTCATTATTATCTAAAATATTTATTCTGTTTCTTTTCTTTCTGGAACTCACACACTATACGTATTTATACTTTTTGTAATTGTTCCACAGTTCTTGGATGCTTTGTGATTTTTTTTATTCCCTTTTTTTTTTTTTTTTGCATTTCAGTTTTGGATGTTTCTATTGAAACTTCCTCAAGCCAGCTGATTCTTTCCTCCACTCTGTCCTATTGATGAGCTTTTTGAAGGCATTCTTGTTTCTGCTACAATGTTTTTTATTTCTAGCATTTCCTTTGATTCTATCTTAGAGTTCTCATCTCTCTGCTTGCATTATTTATCTGTTCTTGCAAGTTGTTCCCTTTTTTCATTACAGTCCTTAGCATTTTAATATTTATTTTAAATCCCTCTTCTAATAATTTCAATATCTCTGCCATATCAAGTCTGGTTCTGACATTTGCTCTGTTTCTTCAATGTTTGGGGTTTTTTGTGGGTTTTTTTTTTTTTTTTTTGTCTTTTAGTGTGACTTGTAATATTTTATTGAAAGCCAAATATGAGGTATTAGTGAGACAGGCATAAGACAAGGTGGTCACAGGAGAATAGAAAATTCTAAGCAGCAGTTTCACATGACTAGCAAAAGGAAACTTGAAATAGCTGCATGAGATAGGGCCTGATAAGACTGAAAACGAGGATGTGGACCAAGCTGGCTAAGACTGAGTGGACTCAACATGGCGCTGGATTTGACCTAGGTTTCACCTAGGACCTAATTATATGCACATTAGCATTGTAAATCACATACCCACCAGCGCCAAGACAGTTCCAGGAGCATCCATATTTGGATGTTAAAATGGGTAACACCGCAGTTCCAAGAAATCTTCACCTCTTTCTGGGAATCTTCAGGAATGTTTCACACCTTGGTTAAAGAAGCCCAAAAAGTTATAAACCCCAAACCCCACTGGGAGTGGCTCTTTCATGAGTATGCCCACATTCTCTTTTCTTGAATGTGTCCTTTTCGCTTTGCAATAAGTCTCTGTACTTTCACTCTTTTCCAACTCATCCTTAAATTCCTTCTCACAACAGTGTCAAGAGCCTGGACACTGGCTAGGCCAACGTCCCCCCTGCATTCGGGGACCTCCCCCAGCCCACCAGTATCACCAGGTAGAAAGAAACCAAGGTAAGTAGGCCTTTAGTAAGGTTTTATGTTTATCTTGCTAAGGCTTAGGCTGTGTTTATTATTTGTTGTAACTGTCGATGTCAGAGTCTAAAATTTACTTCAGTATCCTTGTTGTTTGTCTCCCCTCTGATCTTTTGGTTTCTCTATAGAGACGTCTTAAATAAGGTCTGAGACATGCAGTTCTTTCGGTTGTATTTTCCCATTATTATACTGGAGCCCCATTGAAGTGGTGGTAAAAGGTTGGGGGAGTGGAGGCCAGTGTTCTACAGCCCTGTGATCAGGTTTCAGTCTCTTAGTGAGCCTGTGCCCCTGGGCTGTGCCCTTATCAAGAGCTTCTCAGTTTTGTTCTGCGTTGTTTCCCCTCTTAGGTGAGACAGGAGGGCCAGAGGGGGCTGGCTTTGGGTATTTCCCTTCTTGAGGTCAGTTAGACTCTGATGAAAATCCAGTAGGTTAGGTAGCCTCTGGTAAAATACTGTCTCTTGCACGTGGGCCTTGTTAAGGAGAGCAGAACGCTCTGGCATCCTTCACAATGGTGACTTTTTCCATCCCCAAGAAACACAAGGGAATTTTTCTCTGATGTCCACTGTGAGAACCTGGTAGAGTTTTACCTCCAAGTGGTAAAACTCACAAAATTGTGGGTGCATACACCTAAAACCGAGCCCCCTCGGAGTTTTAAATTCTCAAACATGTTCATCCTGAGCCTCCAGCAATTCATTAGTTATACTTTTAGGTTTTCTTATTCCAGTACTGGTTCCTGGGGAGGTGTTCATTCTTGGGCGTTTGCTCCAGTATATTGTGATTTCTTGTATCTGCCTTTCTGTCTCTCCAATTCCGGGGGCATCAGTTTGCACTGTGGTCCCCATTCTCTGATGGATCTAAGAAGAGTTGCTGATCTTTAGTTTGTTCACCTTTTATCTTGTGAGGACAAAAACGACAACTTCCAGGCATCCTATATGCCAGATTTGAAATCATTTTCCTCAAATGCTGTCATTTTTAAAAGCAGATATTTTATTTCCTTCAAATAGTAAGTAGCTTTAAGTTTTAATTTCCAATTGCTTCTGCATCTGAAGTCTTTGGGGATCAGTTTCTAGTTTCTGTTCCTTGTTATTGATACAGAACACCTGGGCCCCTGGCTAAACCCCACCCTTAAGCCTGGAACCGCAGTCTTAAGTGAAAACAGCTGACCCCATTTTTCTGCCCAAATGTTGCCTTTTTGGCCTGCCCCGCCCCTATCCTATGCCCATAAAAAGACTTCAGCTGGCAGAGTAACACAAGCGGCTGAGCGGCTGGGATACAAGTGGTTGAGCAGCAAACAGAGAAGCAGCAACTGAGTGTCCGAGACCACAGATAGACACGGCTAACTTCAGATGGTGCAGCTTCAGGGAAAGATCACCTTCTTCCTGCACCATCCCTTTTCCAATTCTCCATCCCACTGAAAACTGCTTTTATTACCCAATAAAATCCTCCACACACACTACCCTTCAACCCATTCATGGGACCTCATTCTTCCCAGATGCTGGACGAGAACTCAGGTGCCGAGAGGGCAGGGGCTCGGAGGCTGCTGCGGGGCCCACACAGAGCCTGTTCTCACCAGAGAGAAGTGACCCCCGGTTCCAGTATTCACTCACTCCAGTTCCCGCACTCGCTTGCTTGTGTAGCAGGACAAGCCGCAGACAAAACCCCTCAGACACCGAGTTAAAGAAGGAAGGGTTTTATTCGGCTGGAAGGTTCAGCAAGACTCACGTCTCCAACAACTGAGCTCCCCAGGTGAGCAATCCCTGTCCCTTTTAAGGGCTCACAACTCCAAGGGGATAGAGGGTCGTGATCATTGAGCAAGCAGTGGATACGTGACTGGGGGCTGCATGCACCGGTAATCAGAACAAAACAGAACAGGACAGGGATTTTCACAATGCTTTTCCATACAATGTGTGGAATCTATAGATAACATAACGGGTTAGGTCAGGGGTCGATCTTTAACCAGGCCCAGGGCTGCGCCAGGCTGTCTGCCTGTGGATTTCATTTCTGCCTTTTAGTTGTTACTTCTTCTTTCTTTGGAGGCAGAAATTGGGCATAACACAATATGAGGGGTGGTCTCCTCCCTTACTTGCACGCTCCCTCTCTCAAGAAGGGGCCAGTGGCAGGCTGAGTGAAATGAGCCATTTCAGTTCTTGCCCACAAAGGGGGTCAAGGTCAAGGGAACGCTCCCATCTCATCATTTCTATTGGTTCTCATTTCTTTTATTTATTTATTTTTTTGAGACAGGGTCTTGCTCTGTCATCAGGCTGGAATGCAGTGGTATGACATGGCTCACTGCAACCTCTGCCTCCCAGGCTCAAGTGATGCTCCCAGCTAGTCCCAAGTAGCTGGGACTACAGGCATACACCACTACGCTCAACTAATTAAAATTTTTTTTTTGTAGAGATGAGGTCTCACTATGTTGCCCAGGCTGGTCTTGAGCTCCTGGGCTCAAACAATCATCCCATCTCGGCCTCCCAAAGTGCTGGAATTATAAATGTTAGCTACCATGTCTGGCCTTAGTTCTTATTTTTGGTAACTTGTTTCTTTATGTAATCAAAAATCTTTCTGTGCCCCCCATGGCCCTTAAAAATTATTTGTGTATATTCTCAAAGGCCTATGTCAACAAAAAAGAGGCAAACTCTGTAAAATTTGTAAAGAGGTTTATTATGAGCGAATCATGAGTGATCAAGGTGCAAGGCATAGTTTTAAGAGGTCCTGAGAACATGTACCCAAGGTGGATGGGTTGCAGCTTGGTTTTATACGTTTAAGGGAGACATAAGACATCAATCAATACATGTGAGGTATACATTGGTTTGGTCTGGGAGGGTGGGACGCTTGAAGTGGTGATTCTAGGTCATAGGTGGGTTCAAAAATTTTCTGATTCACAATTGGTTGAAATAATTAAGTTATTATCTAAAGGCCTGGAGTCAATAAAAAGGAGTGTCTGGGTTAAGATAAGGGATTGCGGAGACTAAGGTTTTTATTATGTAGATGAAGTCTCATAGGTGGCTGCTCTTAGAGGCGATAGATGGCAAATGTTTCCTATACTGATCTTAAAAAGGTACCAGACTCTCAGCTAATCTCTTCAGGATCGGGAAAAGATCTACAAAATGTAAATTTCCCCCATAAGAGATAGCCTGGCAGGGCCATTTCAAAATATCACAAATATATTTTAGGGTAAAATGATTTCTTTCAGGGCCTGCTATCAGTCATGTGATGCTATACCATAGTCAGGTCTGAATTTGGTATCTTATTGCTACAAAGAGTCTGTTTTGTCAGTCTTAAGATCTCTGTTTTAATGTTAATGCTGCTCAGTTGTTCCTGAATTCCAAAGGAAGGAGAGTATAATGAGGCATGTCAGATCCCCCCCCCCCCGCCCGCCACCACCGCTGCCCCCGCCCCGACCCCCGTCGGCATAGTGTGAACTAGTTAACTAGTTTTCCAGGTTTCCTTGGGAATCCCATTGGCTTAGAGGAGATGTCCATTCAGTTGGTGCAGGGCTTAGGATTTTATTTTTGGTTCACATTAGGATAAAGATACCTCCCTCCAGAGTTGACTTGAGTTTACTTTTTCAGGTACCTGCAGAGAGTACAATCAGACTTGACATTTTTGGACCACCCCAATTATGCAAATTTGAGGAATTTCCACTGGACTATCAGAACTTGTTTTATAGCTACTTTTTCTGTCTCCCTCACCACCATTCTATCCTCTCTTCCATTTGTCTTTATCTTTTGATTTCTTTATCTCTCTCTCATCACCATTCTATCCTCTCTCCCATTTTTCCCATCAGGATGTGGGAGATTTATTTCTAAGGAGTCACTATCCTGAGTGCCCTGAGTGGGGATAATTCTTTGACATCCTGACTTAGCGTGTGTGTGTGTGTGTGTGTGTGTGTATGAAAGGAAAAGGGGGTTGTTCTATATGACTCTCTACCTTGGTTAGGACTTCAGTTCCTGGTTTGCAGTGGGATAAAGATACCTCCTACGTAGAGAATCATTTGAACTATTTTTTTTTATGTAGAGAATCCACCAACACTTTAGATCAGTTTTGCAGCCATTTCTTCTTCTTTTTTTGTTTTTTTTTGAGGTGGAGTATCACTCTGTCACCCAAGCTGGAGCGCAGTGGCATGATCTTGGCTCACTGCAACCTCTGCGTCCCGGGTTTAAGTGATTCTCCTGCCTCAGCCTCCCGAGTAGATGGGATTACAGGCACTCACTACCATGCACAGCTAATTTTTGTATTTTTTGTATTTATTTTATTTTATTTTATTTATTTTATTTTTTTTTTTAATTTTTTTTTTTTATTGATCATTCTTGGGTGTTTCTCACAGAGGGGGATTTGGCAGGGTCATAGGACAATAGTGGAGGGAAGGTCAGCAGATAAACAAGTGAACAAAGGTCTCTGGTTTTCCTAGGCAGAGGACCCTGAGGCCTTCCGCAGTGTTTGTGTCCCTGGGTACTTGAGATTAGGGAGTGGTGATGACTCTTAACTAGCATGCTGCCTTCAAGCATCTGTTTAACAAACACATCTTGCACTGCCCTTAATCCATTTAACCCTGAGTGGGCACAGCACATGTTTCAGAGAGCACAGGGTTGCGGGGTAAGGTCACAGATCAACAGGATCCCAAGGCAGAAGAATTTTTCTTAGTACAGAACAAAATGAAAAGTCTCCCATGTCTACTTCTTTCCACACAGACACGGCAACCATCCGATTTCTCAATCTTTTCCCCACCTTTCCCCGCTTTCTATTCCACAAAACCACCATTGGTCATCATGGCCCGTTCTCAATGAGCTGTTGGGCACACCTCCCAGACGGGGTGGTGGCTGGGCAGAGGGGCTCCTCACTTCCCAGTAGGGGCGGCCGGGCAGAGGCGCCCCTCACCTCCCGGACGAGGCGGCTGACCGGGCGGGGGGCTGACCCCCCCACCTCCCTCCCGGACGGGGCGACTGGCCGGGCGGGGGGGCTGACCCCCCACCTCCCTCCCGGACGGGGCAGCTGGCCGGGCAGAGGGGCTCCTCACTTTCCAGTAGGGGCGGCCGGGCAGAGGCGCCCCTCACCTCCCGGAAGAGGCAGCTGGCCGGGCGGAGGGCTGACTCCCCCACCTCCCTCCCGGACGGGGCGGCTGGCCGGGCGGGGGGCTGACCCCCCCACCTCCCTCCCGGACGGGGCGGCTGGCCTGGTGGGGGCTGACCCCCCACCTCCCTCCCGGACGGGTCGGCTGCCGGGCGGAGAGGCTCCTCACTTCCCAGACGGGGTGGCTGCCAGGCGGAGGGGCTCCTCACTTCTCAGACGGGGCGGCTGCCGGGCGGAGGGTCTCCTCCCTTCTCAGATGGGGCGGCTGGGCAGAGACGCTCCTCACCTCCCAGATGGGGTCGCGGCCGGGCAGAGGCGCTCCTCACATCCCAGACGGGGCGGCGGGGCAAAGGCGCTCCCCACATCTCAGACGATGGGCGGCCGGGCAGAGACGCTCCTCACTTCCTAGATGGGATGGCGGCCGGGCAGAGACGCTCCTCACTTTCCAGACTGGGCAGCCAGGCAGAGGGGCTACTCACATCCCAGACGATGGGCGGCCAGGCAGAGACGCTCCTCACTTCCTAGACGGGGTGGCGGCCGGGCAGAGGCTGCACTCTGGGCACTTTGGGAGGCCAAGGCAGGCGGCTGGGAGGTGGAGGTTGTAGTGAGCCGAGATCACGCCACTGCACTCCAGCCTGGGCACCATTGAGCACTGAGTGAACCAGACACCGTCTGCAATCCCGGCACCTCCGGAGGCCGAGGCTGGCGGATCACTCGCTGTTAGGAGCTGGAGACCAGCCCGGCCAACACAGCGAAACCCCGTCTCCACCAAAAAAATACGAAAACCAGTCAGGCGTGGCGGCGCGCGCCTGCAATTGCAGGCACTCCGCAGGCTGAGGCAGGAGAATCAGGCAGGGAGGTTGCAGTGAGCCGAGATGGCAGCAGTACAGTCCAGCTTCGGCTGGGCATCAGAGGGAGACCATGGAAAGAGAGGGAGAGGGAGACCGTGGGGAGAGGGAGACCGTGAGGGAGAGGGAGAGGGAGAGGGAGAGCTAATTTTTGTATTTTTAATGGAGATGGGGTTTCACCTAAAATGGAGACTCCTGACCTCAAGCGATCTGCCGTCGGCCTCCCAAAGTGTTGGGATTACAGGTGTGAGCCACTGCACTCAGCCAGCCATTTCTTCCTGATTGTCAAATGCACTTAGAGTAACAGTAGTGTGGAGTGTCAGCTTAATCCTCAAGTTCTCAACTCTTCTTCTATTTTAAACCTAGTAGTCACTTTGTATCCTTTGGTGCCTTTGCTATTTAGTATTTAACAAATATTTTACCTAGAATTTTCTTTCTTTCTTTCTTTTTGAGACAGAGTCTTGCTCTGTCACCCAGGCTAGAGTGTGGTGGCGCGATCTCGGCTCACTGCAACCCTTACCTCCTGGGCTTGTGTGATTCTTCCACCTCAGCCTCCCAAGTAGCTGAGACTACAGTCGCCCATGACCACACCTGGCTAATTATTATACTTTCGATAGAGATGGTGTTTTACCATTCGGCGTTTTACCGTTTTGGCCAGGCTGGTCTTGAACTCTTGACCTCAAGTGATCCGCCCGCTTCATCTTCTCAAAATGCTGGAATTACAGATGTAAGCGACCGTGCCCAGCCTAGAATTTTATTTTTTTCTGCCAAAAAATTAGTTCAAATGACTAGTCAGAACCAGACATCTCTGATCTTCTATATGTTTTCAAATTGTGACTTGATGACTCTTTTGGACTTTTGTTCAAAGGTCTGTCAGCACAGTTTTTATACCAATCCTAAACATCCATTTTCAAAATCACTTGAACTTGGAATTCTTTAGAGCAGAGTCTAAGCCAGTTTTTTCGTTACTGATATTTATTCTTATCCATTGGACTGGTTCTGGTCCTGGGTAGAAAATAGGGGAGGGGTGGCTAGTCCTGCTTAGGTGCATGGTCATGTAGGCATGGGATTTCAAACTGTTCATTTATACACATATTTCATCCTCTCTTCCCTCAGGTTTTACTCCACTGGGGATTTTTTAATTTGGTAGTCATCATTGACCTTCTAGTTTTCTTCCTCTCCCTCACATTGACATTATCTCTTGTGTGCTAATTCTTTATAGTTTTCAGACTATTTACTTATTTACTATTTTATCTCTCTGCATGACATTAGGAATCTAGAGTGCCTAGATCCAAAACATATCTGTTCCACTTCCTAAGCCAAATCCCCTTGTCAAGCCATAAACAATGACATTTATTGAGTACTTATTGTGTGTGCTAAGTGTTTTACTCATTATCTTGCTGAACCTTTATTTTTCTCTTATGTATAATTATTTTGGTTATTTTTAACATTAGTATTATGTATGGAAAAAAACTGTGTCTTAGTCAGCTCGGGCTGCCATAATAAAATATGATAGACTGATGGTTTAAACAGCAGAAATTTATTTCCTCACAGTTCTCTAGGCTGGGAGTCCAAACTCAAGGTGCCAGCATGGTTGATTTCTGGTGAGGGCTCTCTTCCTGGCTTGCAAATGGCCACCTTCTAGTGGTCATATGTGTTTACAGAGCCTTTCCTTGGTGCCTGTGTGTTCAGAGACAGACAGAGAGAGAGAGAGAGAGAGAGAGAGAGAGAGAGAGAGAGAGAGAGCGCGAGCGAATTATCTAGTGTTTCTTCTTGTAAGGGTACTAATTTCATCATGAGTGCCCACCCTGATGACCTCACCTAAACCTAATTATCTCCCAAAGGCCCCATCTCCAGATACCATCACACTGAAAGTTAGGGTTTCAATGTATGAATTTATATGGGAAACAGGAGGGAAAGACACAGTTTAGTCCACTGCAAACAATCTAACAGATTTTGCACATTTTAATATTATCATTTTATTGTCTTTTTTTTCTCTCTCTCCTTTCAAATGTACTTTCTCTCTTTAAACCAGTTTGAATCTTGGGAAGTCATTTAATCCAAAAATATTCTTTTCACAGATGAAGAAACTGAGACTCAAAAAGGTTAATTAAAATTTTAAAAATCATATAGGTAACTTGTGGAAGAGTTAATTTAGACTTACGGGGAGTCACAAAAATAGTGCAGAGTTCTTGTAACTCAGATTCCCCTAATGTTAACATTTCATGTAGCAGTGGTATATGATCAAAAATAAGGTATTAACCCTGTTAATTAAGCTATAGATTTTCTTCAGATTTTACCAGTTTTTCCATGGATTTCCTTTTACTATTTCAGAATTCAATCTGGTATTCCACATTGCATTTAGTTGTTATATGTCCTTAGTCTCCTCCAATTTCTGCTAATTCCTTAGTTTTCTTTTGTCTTTCATGCACATGCTACTTTTGGAAAACTCTGGTTAAGCTATTTTTTATAGTATGTCCTTACTTTTTGTTTCTCTGATATTTTTTCATGATTAGATAGAGATGATTCATTATTAGGGAAAAATACCACAGATATGATATGCCCTTTTAGAAAATCATATTGGGGAATGCTTGATGCTGATATGTTCTACAGCTGGTGAGGTTGACATTTATCACTTGGATAAGGTGGTATCTTTCAGGTTTCTCCATGGTAAAGGTGCTATTTTCCTTTTTTAATTAATACATATTTGGTGGGAGATACTTTGAGATACTCCAATTATTTATGGAGGATGGTGTATCCATTAAGAGATGAATGTGCTTAATAGTCATTGTTCTTGCTTTGTGTTGAGCACATCCATTTTTTCCTTCTCTTTTTGTTTCTCTCTAATCTCAGAGAAGGACTTTGTTAAGGGTCATGAACAAAATGACCCAAAGGAGACAACACAGACCAACTCTTCCCTTCACCTCTTTCACTGGATAGGGAATGCTTTGATGGGAAAAGTACAGAGATTGTTGTGGTGTTTCTCTGTGTTCTTTTTTCCTCTCCTCTGTTAGAATAGAAGTTGGGGCAGACTCTGTTAACTGAGGAAGTTCCCTGTCAGGTTTAAGAGTGATAGAGGGACCAGAAGAAAGGAAGTGGAGCAAGACAAAATAAGGAGATAGGGAAAGGAGGAATATAAATCTGCTCAGTCCAGAACTTTTGGAAAAAAGAATGGTGGGGGAGCCTAGGAAGAAGGGTATGTATTTGGCTGCAGTTTCCCTATGGAATATTTTTCAGGATTCCAAGCAATGGAGGAGGGGGTAAATGTCCAGTCAAGGTGAAGTTAACACCCTATGGACTGGGAATTCCTCAATGATCTCTGCTCTTTACATTTCTGTTGATAATGCCAATCCCATTGCTTTAAGTTTGACAGTGGAAAGCAGACCTTCTTTAGGAGGAGTACCCACTTCTCAGAATCTTTCATTTTTTCCATACTGCTCCTAAGTTTGAAAAATTAACTTCTCCTGAGATGGATAATATAGCCAGTCTAAAGCACCTTAAAATCTACCAGCTTATCAAAGAGTTGTTTTTGAACCAATCACTTAGGACTCTGTATTAGTTTTCTATTAATACTTTAACAAATTGCCACAAACTTAGTTACTTCAAGTAACACAAATGTACACAAATGTACTTATTTATTTGTTTATTTTTTGGAGACAGAGTCTCACTTTGTTGCCCAGGCTTGAATGCTGTGGTATGATCATGGCTCACTACAGCCTTGAACTCCTCAGCCCCAGTGATCCTCTCTATTTCAGTCTCCTGAGTAACTAGGACTATAGGTACACACCACTACATCTGGCCTTTTTTTTTTTTTTTTTTGGATGGGGTCTTGCTGTATTGCCCAGGCTGGTTTTGAATTCCTGGCCTCAAACAATCCTCCTACCTCAGCCTCCCAAAGTGCTGGGATTACAAGCATGAGCCACTTTCCCCACACTCACAAATGTATTATCTTATAGTTTCTTTAGCTCAGATATCTGAAATGGTTCTCACAGGGCTAAAATCAGGATGCCTGTGTTCTTCACTGGAGACTGTGGGAAAGGATCTGCTTCCAGGCTCATTCAGGTTGTTGGCAGCTTCCTGTGGTTGTGAGACTGAAGTCCCTGTTTCTTGTTGGTTGTTGGCTGGGGGTCATTCTCAGCTCTTAGAGTCCAGCCACATTCATCAAAACCAGCAATGGTGGGTCAAGTCCTTCTCACCGTTCATATCTGTCTGTCCTTTACTTCTGCCTCATTCTTCCTGATTCCCTTTGTCACCTCTATCTCATTGATTTCAGAGGAAGAAGTTTCCGAGCTTTTAAGGGCTCATGTGATTGCACTGGGCCTGCCTGGATAATCCAGGGTCATTTCTCTGCCTTGAGGTCACTCTTTCCGTGTAATGTAACATATTCACAGGTTCCAGTATTTAAGGCATAGATATCATTGGGAAGAGATATGGGGGCAGGCCACATCCTGGGAGGACAGTGGTGGGTATCGGCAACTGAGAGGAGCAAGAAGGTGTTGGTCTTCTGAGGGGTTGAGAGATGAGGCTTTAAAACTAGAGAGTTCCAACTGGAGGCAGAGGTGGTGGAGGATAATATTGCCTTCTTCAATGTGCCTAAGCTGCTGTTGCTGAGGAAGTCAATGGGGTATGGAGTGGGGTTGATCTCTGGAGCAATCAACTTGCCTGAAGATTGTGTAAATCTCTATCCAGCCTCAGATAGGCCAACTGTAGAAGACAAAGCAGGATTTGGGGGATACTGGAGTGAATGACCTGCTGGTTCTAAGGCACAGGTTTCTGGCCATCTGTTTGCTTTGCTGGCAGTCCTAGTCGTCTGGCTCTACCTCTCCACAGCACTGGCTCTGCCTCTCCACAGCACTGGTTTTGTTGGTGCTGGTTTTTAAGAAGCTCTTGCGTACCCCATGTCCATGCTGACTTCCCTCCCTGCATTCTACTTTCTCCTAAGGGAGCTCTGGTGTGGTCCTGTCATTGGAGGCTAGGACACTGGGCTTAGCCACATGTGGTACACTGGACTCTTCATTACATTGTCTCCCATTTGCTCACCCCACTTTTTAGCCCAGTCACTACTAGGGCAGCCAGCTTCACGCAGGTGCAAGCTGACATCTCTTTACTTGCTTTCTGCCTCAGGATCATCCAACACCATGGTGGAGATACTCAGAAATTAACTGGAATCTACATGTACAATTTAGAAGTGAAAGGGAGTTATAACCCATGGAATAATCTTGGGCAAATGAGAAATGGGAACTTGAGATAATGCTCCCCTGAGGGGATGTTTCTCTTCCCTGAGGGGGATGTTTCTGAAGTGCATTCTATATTAATTCCTTAGAGGGTCCTGATGAAACTAATGCCCAATTTTCCATAGAAGTGACCAGCTCTTTGTACTGGCTTTTTACCTTTGTACTGGCTTTTTACCTGTCCCAATTTTATTCTGCTACCTGACTTCTGTTTTCTGGAATCACTTCCCAAAATAAATTACCTGCATGCAAGCCCTATCTCAGCTTCTGCTAAGGCATGTGCCAACTGTATTAGTTGGTGAAGCAGAGGAAAACCCAAGTCAGGATAAAAATATTTTAATAAGACAAAGCTCAGTCTTTCTTTACAATACTCACCTATGAGTTGGAAGCCAGGCCTGGGAAAAAATAGCCGGAGGCATCTCTTACCACAACACCTGGCTTTTGGGGAGATCCATAGCTCTGTAATGCCTTTTAAACAGCAGGCCAAGTTGTAGATGACTTGCTTGTGTAAATAAAAGAGGCAGAGAAGCATAGAGGCGGCATAGTACTAGTGTTGTCAACAGCTTATATGGATATCTTGAGGAAACAATGTAGAGAGCCTATGATATATCAATTAGTAAAATGAATTGATTGTTGTATTTTAAGCACGCTATTTGGAAGAAATTGGGAGGAGGCAGAATAGCGGCAGAATCTTCATACATCTTTTGTCTTTAAAAATGTGCAATAGGAGCTTGGGAATGAAAAATCTTTAGGGATGCTTAAAATGCCAGGCAGCATAAGGCTAGAATGAAAACAAACACAGTAGAAAAGAGGAATACTAGGAGGAGGACTAGGCCATGAGTGAAATATATAATTTTAAAGTACTGGCTCTGCTTCTTTTCCACCTGTGAGACCTTGTTTCTAGTAGCTTAACATAACTGAACTGCAATTTTCTTGTCTGGAATTTGGGGATAGATAGTAATAATTTTGTCCTGATAGATATGTTGTAAGAATCAAATTTTATATATATATATATACAAAAATTAAAATAAGCATACATTTAGTGAGAACCTACTATATATCAGGACTTCCCTGGGCACAAGGGAATAAAGAGATGAGTGTGACATTCCCTTTGAGGACCTGCCAAGTTATGAAGAAGACAGAGACAGGTGCAGGTATGACTAAATAGAAGGCAATGCTATTAATGGAGGAAAGAAAAATCTGAGAAATCTAGAAGAGAACCAATCAATCTTTCTGGGTGTAGAAAATTAGCAGTTGACATCTAAGCTAGAAATTGGTAGGTTTCTTTAGGCATAGCAAGAAGTGAAATAGGAGGGAAATGGCAAGGGCATTCCAAGAAGATAGAAGAGCAGAACTAAAGGCATATGATGTGCAAGTTAGAAATAGAGAATGAAGAAGTTAGTAAGCTTGTTTGGAACTTGCTAAATTCAAAGTTTCCATAGTGCCCCCAGAGTGTAATTGTTCAGTGAGTAGTTGGAATCTAAAGTCAGAGACTCAAGTGAAGGGATGAAGCTGGACATAAGAACTGCTCAGAGAAACTGAGTGTGTTGAGTGCAGCAATGATCGGCTCAAGAAATTCGAATACTTAGCAGATAGGGAAAGGAAGATGAAATAGGTTGTCAAATTAGGTGTTTTGACTGAGACATTAAAATACAACAGGTATAAAGAAAATTACAAATGAGATATCAGATCACCAGGCAGAAAAGTAAACTAGGTGTTTGAGGATGTTTTGCTAGTTCTCTCACCAACAAGGAAAATATAAAAGATCTAAAGAGATTGATAGAATTTCTAATGAGGATTTCTTTGAGAAAAATTGGTTCTGTGATTCCCAGTATTTTTCATCAAGTCTTGGGAAGGGACTTCAAAGGAGATCACTTGGAGAGCTTGATATGTAAACCTTGTATTAAGAGTGGGAGAACTATTGATTGATATCTAATCTATGCCTAGGGAATCATACAGTGAGAGAGAGGCCACCTGGTCTAGCCTCTGGTAGCAGGACAGTGGGAGATTATTCTTCCTTCTGAAGGTGTGTTTAAGATGCATGGTTCTGGAGAAGGGATGTGGAACTCATGGTAAAAATATTAGTACAATGTCATTTAAAAATTATCTTGACCAAGAAAATTTATGTCAGTGTTCTATTTGGAGGCTTCAGTAGGAGAGCCTCCAAAAAAAATCTTCTAATTTGCTCATGAGAGGAAGAGTCAGCCTTTTAATTTCTGCCAGACTCTGAGATAACAGAACCACCTTAAGACAGTACCAGTCAGGGTAGAACTTTGGCATTGTTTTCCTCTCCTCCCATGGCAAGTTTAAAAACAGCGATTAGGAGGAGGTAAGAAAAAGAGCAAAAGTGAATCAAACCTCCTTTCTTGAAGGTAGTTAATCTGCTTTCAATCATGCCCTATTTGGGGCATAAGGAGGGGAATAAGGGCTTATGCTTTTGAAGAGTTATAACTTTGAATGAAGATTTAAGTACGAATTAATATATTAAACTAGAACTTTCTAATGTCCAAACTGAGACTTCCTGACTTAAATCATTCTTCAGCTTTATTTATTTCCCCAGGGTGACTGCCCAGCTTTTTATTCAGGAAACGGAAAGGATATCTCCCAATAAAAAAGTATAAATGGACAATGAAATACCAAAAAGAAATTGCATCTCACAAGTTGTGTGGTATCAAGCCTTTATATGAAGAGGATTCCGACAAAGAGAGCCTAAAAAGCCAGAGAAGTCAATGAGATTAGAGTTGTAAAAACCCAGAAAATGAAAAGTATCAAGCATAGTACTAGAACAGGAGACAGATGTTTTCATCCTGACAATGAGCACAAGCTGGATAAACTGTAAAATCATAATATTCTTTTTAAAAAACCATCATCAGAGATCAGTGTATTCTAGATTAAGTAAATCTGGAAAGAGATGAGCCCTTTCTAAGAGAGAAGAATCTCATAGCTGCTTTGATTGCTAGGGGCATGGTGGAAAAAGGAGTGAACCTACCATGAAAGAGGTAATGAGAAGCCAGTCTATTTATTAATGAACTTTTCAAGGCTACATGTGGACTGTCATGACAGGCCAGAATTTGGAAGCCCTAATTAGTCATAGGAGAGTCTGTACGCACCCACTAACTCTTCCCATGGACCTGCACCGAGTGTACCTGGGCACTGTCCTAAAAAGGTGTGGCCAGGGCAGAAGAACTGAGAGAGATTTCCCCCTTGGCATAAGGGGTCTTTTCTAAGAGCAAAGCAGGGCACAGCTGGGCACAGAGCAGAAGAGGTGAAAGGAATGTCTATAAATTTCAGGCAGGGCATCGTGGCTCATGCCTAGAATCCCAGCATTTTGGGAGGCCGAGGTGGGAGGATCACCTGAGGTCAGGAATTCAAGACCAACCTGGCCAACATGGTGAAACCCCATCTCTACTAAAAATACAAAAATTAGCCAGGCATGATGGTGGGCGCCTGTAATCCCAGCTACTTGGGAGGCTGAGGTAGGAGAATTGCTTGAACCTGGAAGGCAGAGTTTGCAGTGAGCTGAGATCGAGCCACTGCACTGCAGCCTGGGTGACAGAGTGAGACTCTGTCTCAAAAAAAAAAAAAATATATATATATATATATATATATATATTTCAGTGGGCCTTTTGGGCCTTTTCCAAGTACAGTATGGTGGTCCAGTGAAGGCTGGGAACAGGCCTGCAGAAGAGAAGATAGTTCTTCTAAGATACGGTGAGCCAACATTAGAGCTTGAGAGCAAAGAAAATTCTTTGGTGACTGAAAAAGTTGTCAACACGGCTGGGAAGGAGAGAGACAGCCCATAATTTGGAAAAATAATGCCTAAAGAGATCTACAGATTATCACAAGTACACAAATTCTGAGCACTGCTGGAAGGAAAGGCCTAATCCCTACTTTCAATCATGCCCTATTTGGGGTATGACGAGGGGAATAAGGGCTTATTTTTTTCAAGAGTTATTACTTTGAATGAAGATGTAAATAGCAGTTGACATATTGAACTAGAAATTTCTAATGTCCCCCAAAATAATTGAAACCATTAGTAAGCTAAATATAACCCAGTTGCTAAAAATCTCAAATCTTGCTCAAGTGCAGATTACATTCACTTTGCCCTCAAACTCTTATCAGCCTGGGATGGAAAGAAGTATACTTTTTTTTCTGGGAGGAAATATCATTTATTTCAGTCTTTATTGTCCTTTTACACATGATGTCTTATATACAATAAAAATTATAAAACATAGAAGGTAGAAAATGTAAGCCATAATAAAAAAAACAGTCAGTTGGAGACCCACAAACGGTTCCGATATTGGAATTAGCAGACAAGGACTTTAAATAATCCATTATAACTGCATTAAATATTTCAACAGAAAAAAAGTATAAAAAGAACCACCTGGAAACATTAGAAATAAGAAATACAACATCAGAAGAATTCATTCAATGACCTGAACAGCAGTCTGGAAACATGAAAAGACATTATCAATAGAAATATAGAAAACTGTCCAAAGTGAAAATCAAAGAGAAAAGATAACGGAAACAGAACCAAACAGAATGTCTGAGACCTGTCAGACAATATCAAAAGGTTAAGAATACATATAATTAGAATTTCAGAAGGAGAAAAGGACAAGATACTAGTGCAGAAGAAATATTTAAATAGATAATAGTCTAGAATTCTTCAAAATTGATTAAAAACATCAACTCATAGATCCTAAAAGTTTAGCAAACTCCAAAGTGTAAATAAATGATACAAATATGTCATAATCAAACTGATGAATACCAAATATGAATGGAACAACATTAAGAATGTTGGCTGATTATGCCAAGTGCACTTATTAGAAATAATGAAGGTAGGAGGCAATTAAATAATATTTTCAAAGTGCTGAAAGGAAAAAAAAAGCCTGTCAACCTAGAATTCTATATTTATTAAAATTTTCAGTCAGATAAGAGCAGAGATAATTCGTCTTCAGCAGACCTGAACTACAAAAATAACATAGGATATTTATCTGATATCAGATGGAAGCTGGTTTTTCAAGAAGGAATGAAGAGCTCTACAAAGGGTAAAACCATGGGTAAATGTAAAAGATCTTTCTTTTTAAATTGTTGTAAAAAACTAATTACTATTAACGCAAAAATTTGTAACAATATAGGGTGAGTGTGAAGAACTGACCAGCTCTGTGATGTGTCTTGTGGGATTAGGGCCAAGTATTCAACCGGGGTAGTAGAGTCTAGTAGGGTGGGGCCAAGGAGGCAAATCTGGGTGATTAGAACCAGTGTGGCTGTGGCCAAGAGAGGATCTGAGACTGGTTAAGTGAAGAGAGATTGGGCACATAAGTAAATATTTTGAGTACAGTGGCATCCAGTTTTTTACTATTAAAGGACAAAGTTACAAATATGGCTGGGCATGTTGGTGCATGCCTGTAATCCCAGCACTTTGGAAGGCTGAGGTGGGACGACTGCTGGAGCCCAAGAGTTCTAGACTAGCTTGGGCCACATAGTGAGACCCCATCTCTAAAAAAACATTAAAAAATTAGTTGGGCATAGTGGCATGTGCCTGTAGTCCGAGCTAGTCAGGAAGCTGAGGTGGGAGGGTTTCTGGAGCCCAGGAGGTCAAGGCTGCATGGGCCGTGATGACACCACTGCACTTTACCCTGGGCAACAGAACAAGACCCTGTCTCAAAATGAAAACAAACAGGGAAAGAGGGGAGGCCACAATAAACTCTAAGTGTTGGATTGGAATTTACGTATTGGTGTGAACTCATGGTTTTACATCTATCTGTCTATTTATTTACCTACTTATGTATCTAAAAAATATACATATAGACACAAAATAGAGATGAACAGAAATAAATGTAGATGTAGGTGTGTGTGTATGAGTATTTATGAGGTTTGCCCATTGACTGGACCTAGAATCAATGACACTCAGGAGCAGTAAACACACTTAGATCTTGCTTTCTAAATACCATTTATCCACTAAAAGAAACCAGGACTTCCTAAAGACAATCATTGTGTTTTTTGTTTGTATGTTTGTTTTTGTTTCTTTTTTTTTTTAGACTTGGTGTCTCCCTCTATTGCCCAGGCTGGAGTGCAGTGGCATAATCAGATTATGTCTCCTGGGCTCAAGTGACCTTCCTGCTTCAGTCTCCCAACTTGCTGGGACTACAGGTGCATGCCACTATGCTTGGCTAATTTTTTTATTTTTTTAGGGATGGGGTCTTTCTGTGTTGCCCAGGCTGGTCTCCAACTCCAGGTCTGAAGTGACCCTCTCACCTCCACCTGGAAATAATGATGATTGAGCTGAGTCATGGAAAGTACAAGATGTGTCTGCAACACTTTCATGTGTTGGAAAGTAAGAAAGTGCTCAGAGTGATGGGGATATGACAGAAGGATATAAGAATCTGTTCCTTTGAACATCTACTGGCCCAATTTGGAACAATTTGAACATAAAAATAAATAATGGGTTATGACTTACTCAGCAAAAAAGAAATCTGTAACCCCATACTAATATAAACAATTGAATGGATGGATGAGAAGAGATAGTTCTACCTTGGAGTAAAATGCCAACTGATAAGTGTTGAAGTAATATAGGCATTAGAAAAATCACCATTTTTCAATCACCGTAATATTAAATGACTCAGACAAGAATCACCAATGGATGTTAAAATGTGTGGGTAAAAGTTAGAATAAGAGCAAGATATTTTTGTACTGCCAAAGCGTTTCTCCACAAATTACTTATTAACCAATAATTACAAAATATGAATTAACTGTATAGTGAAGCTAGCTGGTAAACTCCATTTTAATCAAGTTAATATCATCAGTAATTGGACAAATAGACATTATGTGCTTCCTGGTATGTTTCATCATGATGAATACAGCATATATTTTGTTATATTCATGCAAAAATATATAAGCTGAATAAAATTATGAAAAAATATCAAACAGATCCAAATTGAGGGCTATTTTACAAGGCAACTGGCTGTATGTGATTATAATTTTTCTTTCTTTTTAAAAATAGAAGCAGTCAGAGGAGCTGCCAGCTTCCATTCCAGTATAATATATAAATGGGATGCTTTCAACAGGACAAGATGAAAGGGAAAAGAGTTAGCCAGCATCGGCAAGCTTTAGTAAAGACCCCTCTTCTCCCTATACATCTGTAACATCAATTAGAGACTTGCTTTCTAGCTAACTCCTTTTTTAAGACAAAATCCCTTATGAAAGTTAAACCTTATATTCTCACCTTAGTATAAATTTCTTTAATCAGACAATTAAATTGCTTTCTTTTGAATACTTAGAATCACGAACAGATTTTTTTTTTTTCATTTTAATTAATTTTTTTGGGTGGTAATAGTGACTCGGACCATGTAACACTTAGGAGAGAAAATTCAATGAGAAAGTGGGGAAGCTTTGGGAAGCTGAAGGGGAGCTGAAAAACACTGCTCCCTGAAAAAGTGAGAAGGATAAGGGAAAAGCTGAAGATTGGAAGAAGAGAAGGCCCAACCAAAATTTTTCCTTCGTGTAATTTTGTGTGTGTGTGTGTGTGTGGACTCAACTCTTTGTCTTCATCCGCTGAAAAATCACCCAAATGACCATTGTCCTATGGGATGAAGGTAATTACCAATTCCTTGAACAGAACTAATAGCCCGTCAAGATAGTTTCCCAGGAAATAAATGGCGAGGTTGCAGCAGTCACTCATCCAATCAGAGTACTAAAAAAAAGCCATTCTCATCTGGGAGGAGTTGTTGCCCTATTAGATATATGTGGCTGGAAATGTTATCTCGGTTGCAGAAAGATTTTACCAAAAAAAACCCTGCTTTTGTTTGTTCTAATGCCTCAGAAATCTGTCCCCCATGCTATCTGATCATCCTGTGGCCAATCCCTAAAAGGAAAACTGTTCCAGAATGGGATATGAGCCACTGAAATCTCAGATAAGTAAAAAACAATATATACAGTCACTAAATAATGCTTCCAGTAAGTAGGCCGTAAGAGAGAAGAGGTTGCTCTTATCAAACAAAGGCTAAGAGAGAGAGAAACAAATTTAGAATGTTTTGCCATGTCCATGTAGCTTTTAATTATATTGTCTTTTCAGATTCTAATACGGCAGAGAGGACCCATGTTGGAATGGCTGTGGCCAGTTTTCTACAGAGCCACCCTCTATATTGTTCAGTGGGACCTCACATGGCAGAATAAAGACCTATAGTTATAGGTGACAGTTCCAGCAATGCAATTTACTAAATGAGAATGTCATAAATGCTCTAGTGCTAAAGAGATTCATGTTAGGATGCTGAAGGTTGGAGAATAAATTTAAGTGTCATTTGGGGGTAGGCTTGGTGACCAACTAATCTGTTGGCCCAGGGCTCTCCTGTTCCGTGTGTTGAACAGCCCCTCCGTTCCAGGCAAACCTGGACAATTGATCACCCACCCAGCAGACCAGGCTTGGTGATTTATAAGGCTTTTTTCAAACCCTAAAATCCCTTTATTCTGATGCATGTATATATAAGTCCAGTGTTGCTTTCATGAACTCTATAATAGAAAACAATAATGGTGTCATTCACTCGGCCTAGAGGGCAGAGTGATAGACTGGGAAGTGGTCGTTCTACCAGTAAACCACTGTGTGACCTTGGGAGAAATCTGTCCTCTGTGAGTCTTTTTTTTTCCTCAAAGAGAAAAAATTCACAGGAATCTTTTATAAGATTCTTTCCAACTGTACCACTCTATGGCTTTTTCCTATGCATTTGAAGTGTTTCATGCTAGTCTTGAGAAGATGCTCTTGCATACCAATTCTCCATTTACCTGTGTGTTTAAGGACAGGGAGGGTGCAGTGAAGGAGGTGAGGAATGCAAGAGTGTAGAGATAAAAATAAGGTGTAAAAAGGACAGCAAAAAAAGAAAAAAAAAGAAAAAACATTCAGAGCTTTTATTTCAAGGAATCAGAGGATATATTATACATCTATTCATTTTCTATCACTGAATTCCTTTTGGGGGCATAACAAACAAAACCTCTCCTTCCCCCATTTTAGCTACAGAGAGAAAAAGGAGTTTCTCTAAGGCTACACAGTAAATTAATGACAAAGGTAAGACGTCGAGTTTATGTCTCCAGGACTGCACTATTTACCTGCCAGGCTGTGCTGCCTATGAAGTGTCCCTAACTAAAGTACCTGCTCCCTTCTCTTTTCATTTTTGAACCAAAGAGGGAAGCATTATGTCTGATAAAAGAAAACATAGTAGATAGGGAGTAATTTTCAGGCTCCTGCTCTTCTCCCAACTCATTGTCCAACCCTTGGCATTGTTGACAATTTCAGATATGGGTTAAATACAGCAAGGGGAAGTCAATGCTACACCTTAAAAATTAATTGTTCAAGTACTAGGTCATTTCAGAGTAATGCACCGTGAAATTATGTTATTCTCCAGAAGAATTTCCATAAAGTTTAACATGCCATGACACATTCTTTTTCCATTGGAGTTAGTTTTTTAAAAAGTACATAAAAAAGAGTCTTTGGAGTCCAGGGGTGTGTGTAAACCTTGCTGCAGACAAAGCAGAATGTGTTAGGCAGGGCTTTCAGAGCAGCAGATGCTACAGGATCGCTGCTAAGGGAGACTCCATTACCCAAGCATTGCCTATAAAAGCACGGCCTGGGCTGGTATCTGCGGAGGCAAGCGCGGAAGAAGTCATTAGTCTTGGTGCTTTTTTACTGTTATTCACACTGGGATAATGAGATTATTGGAATATTTTTTTTTCCTAATGAGAATGAGACAGAATACCTTGGTCTCTAAATGATTTAGTCACAGAGGGAACACATTACTCTTCCCTTGATTGCTGTCAAATGCTGGAAAATTGGAATATTATATTTATCGTGATGGGCAATATTTTTCCTGCCTTCTAGGTGTCAAATGAGCTGGGAAAAATATTTGTCTGAAAAGCAGACTCCTTTACAAGGTTTACGGAAAGGAAGACAAATGAAGATGCAGGATAAGGATCTGGGGGCGGAGGTTAGAAGGATAGGATAATTGGAGGATGGCTTTTCGCTATTTTTTTTTTTCCAACCGTAAAACTATCCCCTTGTTTTGATTTCCTACATTCTTCTCTTCCAGTTAGCTCACCAGTGTTTGGGGCTAATTAGACACTGTTTAGATTCAGAATAGAAGGTTAATTTCAAGGGGAAATGGGTTTGTGTTGGTCTGGAGGTCATTAGTGCAGCTAGTTAATTTGTGTTTCTTGGGAAGGAATAACATTCTGGGGCTGGAGAATTTTTTTTGTAGGGGGAAGTAAGAAGGATTTTTCAGTCTTATTCTCAAGAACCTTTCACTTGATACTTGTCAGCTCAAAGTTTATGGGGCCAATACAGACTAATTGGTTGGCCTGGTGCAATGAGTTTCAACACTGGTCATATATGGGTGGCTTCGCAGCCAAGGTGAACAAAGAAATCCCGAGTTCTAACTTCTGCTCCTGCCCCACCACCAAACTTCTTCTCCACGAAGGTCAAAAACATCTGAAAAACAGACAAACAAAAAATTAACAAGTAAAATATTTCATGCTGTCATTACGTGCTGGCTTTCAGAAGGCCATCACCCTGTTTCTACATCACAATAAGAAATGTTAGTGTTCTTGATGTAACAGGTGGAAGAATCTTACAGCATGAGCATTAGTCCTCTGATTTGCAGATACCACTCTTTATTAGATTCATTCAGAGATCTTATAAATAGAGAAATTTCGGCTCACCCTCTGTGGGCTTATTCATCTGTATTTTACAATTTCCCAGAAAATTTTGTTGCAGACTGTCTTCAGTATTTGGGAATGAATGAAATCCAACAGACATGTTATTATAGAAGAGGGCAGGGCTTCTTAGGAAGTAAATTGACTTGTCTAAGACAACACAACTAACAAGTGACAGAGCTGGGACTTGGTCTCATAGCTAAGGGTGGTGGGATTTGCTTGATCCATGCTGGATCCTTGTTCTCTTAATGCCTCAGTGGTCTGGTCTCTTCCTTCCTCCCTTTCCTCATTTAACAGTGTGGCATGTGAATTGTCAGTAATTAATAGTTCTATGGCGTTTGCTGACATCTTCCTTTGTGCCTTCCTGTGAGGCTCTGAGACATAATCCTTACTCTTAAGGAACAATTAGATTTGCAGAAACAAAACACATAGCCATAAACATAAACTATGATGGCTTTTATAGGGAAAGGAGATGCTCTAAATGCTTAGGATAGTTGAGGAGGGGGCCAGATATAGACATAGAAGACAATGTGGAAATGAGATGCATGATGTGGTCAAACTTAACACCTAGAAGCTTCTGGAAGCAGTTTTACATTTCATTATCAACGTATCTGTCATTGTGTATCACAATGTCTTCTGAGATCAAGGATTGTATCTTCTTGCCATGAATCCCCAGAAAGGTAAAATTCCTTAGTTCCCGGAAAGAGGGCATTCATTTAGCATAGATAAAATTGTCAAAATCCAGCTCCTCCATAAAATTTCCCACCCCTGGCTAAGAACCTCTCCTTTGAAATTCTAAAACCTACCTCTATGGTGAATGTAGTAAAATCTAACTTATAATATTAGTATTTGTGTCTATAATTTAGCCCCAACTGAACTGTATGCAATTTGAAAGCAGAAACCATACATCTTGTTCATTTCTGTATCCCACTGCTGAAGATTACTAGTGGGTCTTGCCTGTAATTGGTGCCTGATCTCTTTGTATTAAATTAATAAAGCAGGCAAAAAGTGCCATGGAAGGGAACCCCCTAATGCAGTGAATGGTTCTCTACTGCACCCTGACATATACCTCCTGTCTCAGTCTGTTTGTGCAGCTATATAACAGGATACCACAAAATAGGTAATTTATAAAGAATGGACATTTATTTCCTCACAGTTTTGGAAGCTGGGAAGTTTAAGATGAGGGTCTGGCATCTGGTTGGTGTCTTCCTTCTGCATTGTCTCATGGTGGAAGGCAGAAGGGTGAGAGAGAGTAAGAGGGGTCAAACCCACTCCCAATATCATAAAATCCCTCCCAACATAATGCATAAATCCATCCATGAGGGCAGAATTAAATTTCAACATGAGTTTTGCAGGGGGCAAACATTTAAAACATTGCACCTCTTTTGTCACTTGCCACTTCTTTCTTTTTCTGCTTTGATGTCTTCCCAAGAGTCATTGCAGGTTCTCAGATGTCTTACTTGTCTCTTTTACCTCCTTCTTTGCCTTATTTGTTTTCCTTGCTTAGAGTCACCAACAGAAACATTACTTAGTCCATTAGTGGGTCTATAAGACATAGGAAAAAAAAAACACAAAGTGTTTTTCTCTACGCTCACACAGTCACTATAACATAGAACACTTTGCCTCTGGTCACCAAAACACATGGGGGTTTTTCCCCACGCACCAACCAAGCAATTCCATAGCAGATACTAGCTGGGTATCCTCCACAATGCAATTCAATTGTGACACTATCTACCTGGAGAAAGTGTCAGATTCCACAGGTTGAAGGCTGAGTCCCACAAGACTACCCCCAATTTCAGATGCTAGTTGCAAGTAGCAGATTGACATTTTATACTTTTGACCCACTTGTTATAAATCAGGGATTCCCATGACCCTTTCTTGTTCAATTAATTTGCTAGAATGGCTCACAGAACTTAGGGAAAAAGTGTACTTACTTTAACCTATTTAATATAAAGGATATTACAAAGGATACAAATAAATAGCCAGTGGAAGAAATGTTAGGGTAATATATGAAGGAAGGGGCTTGAAGCTTCCATGCCTTTTCCGGGGGCACCAGCCTGCAGAAGCCCCCACATGTTCAGCTAGCCAGAAGCTAGCCAAACCAGGTCCTTTGGGGTTTTTATGAAGCATTATTATGCAGGCATGATTGATTAAATTATTGACCATTAGTAATCAACTTAGTCTTCTTCCTCTCTTTCCTGCCAGGAGGTTGGGTGGTGGGGCTAAAAACTCAATCCTCTAATCATGCCTTGGTATTTTGAAAGCTATATAGGGGTTGCCAGCCACCAGTCATCTCATTAGCATACAAAAAATCACTTTTCTTATTCCAGAGATCCCAAGGGTTTTAGGAGGTGTGGGCCAGGAAATGTGGAGAAAGAGGTCCAAATATATATTTCACAATAACATAGTAGGTCAGTGGTCCTTACTGCAGCTGAGGATCATGATTAGGTTTAGGAATCTAGCATCAGTTTGTATCAGAATGCAAATAACTTCCTGGGACGTGAGAGATAGTGTATTCTAGTCATGCTTAGTTAGCTTCAAGATAGCTTGCATCTCATCCCAGTAAAACCACTTATTTATAACATATCAACGTATTGACAAGGTTGAAGAGCAAGATTGTTCTGAGGTGAGATGCAAATTTCAAAGGGGTGAGCACTAATTGTTCCAGTGATTGTTTATTTATTGGCTAGGACATAATTACTCTCTTTGAGGTTACACATCTGCCTCCAGGTTCCTGTGTGCTTGTGCCCTTGGGATCAGGCCAGGGCAGACTGTGATCACTGAGATTCAAACTCCCAGAGTAATCAGCAAGAGCTTTCTAGAGACCAAGGCCAGGCCTGATCCCTGAGGGATGCATGAGAAGGCTTGGAATCTCATTCTGCTATGGTGGCTCTCTCTTGATCTTCTTGGAGTAGCAGAAACAGCAATGTGGGCCCAATGGTGTGGCCTAAATGATCACAAAGGTAAATGAGTAAAGGGCTCAGCAGATGAGTAAGGAGCCTTGTCCTGAGAAATTAGCACTGGGCTCTGCATTCAGAAACATGTGATAAGCATTGCCCATTGCACATTGCCTTTATTGTGTAAGGACATGAAATTCCAGTTTTGCATAGCTAGTGATGAATACCTGAAGGGAATTGCAGACATATTTTATTTTATTTTTAATTGACAGATGGAATTGTATATATTTATCATGTACATAATCATGCTTTAAAATATGTACATTATGGAATGGCTAAATCAAACTAACCTAGGCATTATCTCATATAATTGTCATTTTTGTGGCGAGAAGACTAAAAATCTACCCTTTCAGCATTTTTAAAGAATACAATGTGTTTTATTAACAACAGTCACCATTTGGTACACTAGATCTCTTGAACTTCTTCCTCTTATCTAACTGAGATCTTGTAACCTTTGATAACAGCTCCCAAGCCCTTCCCCAACCACTGCTCCACCCGTGGTAACCACCATTCTATTCTCAACTTCCTGGTAATCACCATTCTAGACACAGGGAAGACTCTCTACCCTCTGAGGGTTCAATATTTGAGTCTATGAAATAAACAGACAGTAGGCAGAGTAACAGGAGAAAAAGTACACAGTAGTTCCAGCTTATCTTTGATTTTTCTTTCTGCAGTTTGTTAACCTCAGTCAAAACATCAAATGGAAAATTCCAGAAATAAACAATTCTTAAGCTTGAAATTGCATTCCATTCTGAGTAGCATGATGATACCTTGTGCCATCCCACTCTGTCCTGATAGGGACATGAATCATCCCTTTGTCCAGTGTATTCATACTGTAGATGCTACCTGCCCATTACTGTATGGGAAAATATATAGAATATATAGGGTTCAATACTCTTCACAGTTTCTGGCATCCACTGGGGGTCTTGGGATGTATTCCTTGTGGGTAAGGGGGGACTATGATACAAAGGTATTACACGCATGGGGGCATCACATGAAGGAAAAGAGAATACCCCAAATCCCAGTGAGATCTAGAAGAGTATACACCTTCTTTGTAGGAGAGAAGGCATGGGGGATGTAAGCGACTTAGCCTAGTTTAAGTGATTTTTGGAAAAGGTGAATGGAGCCAGGCATAATGGCTCACACTTATAATCCTAGTACTTTGGGAGGTTGAGGTAGGAGGATTGCTTGAGGCCAGGAGTTTGAGACCAGCCTGAGCAACATAGTGAGACCTTATTTCTACAAAAACATTAAACAATCAGCCAGGCATGGTGGTGTGCACCTGTAGTCCCATCTTGGGAGGCTGAGGTGGGAGAATTCTTTGAGCCCAGGAGATGAAGGTTGCAGTGAGTTATGATTGCACCACCACACCATAGCCTGGAAGAAAGAGAGAGACCTTGTCTCTAAAAAAAAATTAAAAATAAATAAATAATTAAAGATGAATAGCCCTCCAGAGAAGTAGGTGACAGCCTGTGACAAAGTCTGTCTGGTCCTGGCATCAACCTCCCGGCTCCTCTGCTGTGATCTGAGTTTAATCTTCCTTGGTTGATGAGATTCCCTGGGAGGGCATTCATGACAGTTGTGCTCCTCTTGGAGGATCTGTCTTTAGGTACATTAAGGAAGTTCAGAGGAAGCCCCTTTCTGCATTTACTATTCCTAAGTGCCCTCAGTTTTAAGTCTAAAACAATACATTTTGGGGCGGCATTTTCTGAATTCCTTCAAGATCAACTTTTTTAGATTCTGCATATGAGTGAGACCATGCAGTATTTGTATTTCTGTGCCTGGCTTATTTTGAGAGAAGAGAGACAGACCCTTTCATGTTGTTTTATCCTCAGAAAAGGCAAGAGAAGCAAAACTAAAGGCAGGTAGGCTGGCGCCTAGGAACCAGACCCGAAACCAAGACCTGAAAACCAGACCTGAAACCAGGCCTGGGCCTGCCTGACCTAAGCCTGGTAGTTAAAATTCGACCCCTGACTTAGCAACTGATGTTATTTATAGATTATAGAAAGACATTGTAAAACTTCCCGGTCTGTTCTGTTTCACTCTGACCACCGGTGCACGCGGCCCCTGTCACGTACCCCCTGCTTGCTCAATCAATCATGACCCTCTCACGCGGACCTCCTTAGAGTTGTGAGCCCTTAAAAGGGACAGGAATTGCTCACCTGGGGAGCTTGGCTCTTGAGACAGGAGTCCTGCCGATGCTCCCGGCCGAATAAACCTCTTCCTTCTTTGACTCCGTGTCTGAGGAGTTTTGTCTGCAGCTTGTCGTGCTACAATTTCACATAACAAAATATGTTATAGCAGACTCGTCTGACCTCCATAGATCCAGCTGCAGAGAATAGACCCCAGGTTCTGTTCCTGGGTGGTAAGCAATCATTCCCAGGCAGTATGGCTGGGATCACTTTGGACTCCTCCAGAAACCACCACCGTCCTCAGGATCAGGAAGGATGAGACACTTGGACCTTGTCCACCCTGTATAGCCTGAACCCGGGGGGGGTCTTCAACATGGAGATAGATAGATAGGTCTGATTTTTCCAGCTGAAGCACACTTGCAAAGGTCAGCACAAAGCCAGAAACCCAGTAGGTTCTGCCAGCCGCAGCAGACAGTGCCCTGCAGGAAACTTGGTTTTGGGCCTGGGGTGACTTTTGTTTACACTGTTGTCTTACTTGGCTGGGAGCTCTCCCTGGGAGAGTGAAGAGCTGATGCAGAGAAATGGCCGAGTGCGGGAGAAATGGGTTTCCACCAAAGTGATTTGCTCAATTTTCTTTTTCTGTATATCCTTATACATTTTAAGGCAGATTTATTGCTAGTAAAAGTGCTGGCTGGACAAAGCTCTCTCATGCTGTGCGCTTGCTTTTTCTTCTCCTGAATGTTTTTAAACCTCTCTAGGTGTTTTGTCTTTTTGACATAGACTGGCAGAGTAGGCATCCTGGATTCCCGGTTCACGGCTGTAGGGGCTTTGCTGGCTTGCTGGCTGCCCAGCCTAGCCAACTCCAGCCCTGCAGGGCCCACTCAGCGGGCGTACAGCACCAGATGGAGAGAGGGAAGGCAGACCCAGCAAGAATCCTCAAGAAGAGGAGCTAGCATCCCGGGGAAGAAAAAGATCGTGCAGGACCAGTTGGACAAGAGCCCAGCTCTGAGTAACTCCCTGCATTCAGGGAAAATAAAATCACAAATGAGAACAGCAGGGGGCCAAGGACCAGCTGGAGACAAAAGGGTGTTAGCTTCGGGGTGGGGGCTGTGAGACAAGCAAGGTTCTAGTGAGATATTCCAAAGTCTGGCCTGCCATGGACAGCTGCCATCCGAGCTGCAGGCCTGGAATGTTGTCACAAGCTCACCGAGCCATCCTGTCTGCCTCAGCCCAGGACCCGGAAAGACTGATGAGACAAGAAAGGCCTTGGGCTTCCTCTTGCCTCCTGCATCTTTTAGCCTTCCCTGAACAACCCTGGCAACTTAGCAGCTAAGGCCAAGATCCCTTCCCTTAGGCAACTGACAGCAAAAGGAGGAAAAAGAGGAGGAGAGGAAAGACAAGGAGGAGGAGAGAAGAGAAGGAGGAAGATAAGATCCTGAAGTTTCCAGACCACATAAGTTTCAGAGCAAAGGCTTCTCCTCACCACCCTCATTCCTGAAACACTAACTCCCCACCAGCAGCTGAAACGGTCTTTCCGGAGGGTTATGAGCTCTCCACATTTCAGAACAGTGAATAGAAATATAAATCAATAGGAAGGGGGTGGCCTCAGCCTGGCTGTCCCTGTCCTGTTGGGCATGCCACTTGCTCTGTCTCATCCTTGATTAGCAAATCATCCCTGCCTGCATTCAGACAGAACTTTTCATCCTGGAAGATCACAGGCCACGTGCCAAGTCAGAGAGCATCTCTCTGCTGCCTAATAAGGCACAACTCAGAAGATTAAAGACTTCTTCCTCCTCCACCCTGCCCAGAAACAAGAGGAACATGAGTCCCATTTAGTTATTTCTGTGCATTAACTGGTGATCATTGCTTGATCTGACTTAAGGCTTTTGAGGCATTTTCCCACCTGGATAAAGATAGGGCTTGAAAAAAGGAAGCCCCAGTGTGTGGAGGGGGTTAGGCTCTCTTAAGCATATAATGCAATATGCATGCACATTCATATTCATTGTGTGTGCATACAAATATATGCATACACATATCTATGTCTATATCTATGTATAAATGAAACCATTATACATTTCAAAAATTTGTATAATGCATTATATTACAAAATAAAAGTATATGCATATCTTTTATCACATTTGTTGTGATTCACATGCCAACTTTGCAAGATACATATACCATTAGAACCCTCATTTTTTAGAGGAAATTAAAGTTCAGAGAGGTTGTTAGTTTTTTGTTTGTTTGTTTTGGTTTTTTTTTTTTTTTTTTTGCCTTTTTCTGTCTTAAAAATAAAATAAAGTACTAACTTTCTTCCCTAAAACTCTCCCTCTTCTAATATATACAGACACTATCCTTTTTGGCCTTTCATACTGTTTTCTTCCTCTGATGCATGTGGCATCTTAATCATTCTAACACCAGGGGTGGAGAAATGGAAAAGGAAACAGCATGACAAAATACTTCTGGGCCATTCTGGAATTAGTGATATTTTTCAGGGGTCATCAATTACCTTACTTAACGGGAGATCTCACATTATAAAGAGAAATATAATTAGTGGCAAATGTGCTGAGATATATAAAGATAGATAGGCCGCCCAAGGAATGGGAGCTCATCAATTTTTCCAGGTTCCATCAGGAGGGCAGTTGTTTGACTGCAAGACTCCATCCAAGTGATTGCAGAGCAAAACCAAGCATGCTCTGAGCGTTGCCAATGCTTGAAGGAAAGAGCAGCTGCTGAAAATCAGCAGGTGTGTGTCTGGTCTACCCTTGATTACCAGGCACTTCACCGATCCTGCCTGTGTCTCAGTTTCCTCCTCTATAAAAGGGGGCCAAGAATGCCTATTTATCCTGCTTTTCTTGGGGCTCTTATGAGGCTTAAATAAACTCCATAGATGTGAACTTGCTTTGAAAATTAAAAATCCTATATGCATGCAAAGGAAGATTAGGAATATTACCATCATTGGGCTGGATCTTCCAGAATGGATAGGATTTGACTCTCTGGAAATATGTGTGGGAATATCAGCTAAAGGGTGCAGCATGAGTAAGGCAATGACCGTATACATTCGTTCAGCTATAACATAGGATATTTAATCAGAAAAGGAAAATATCATATCCAAAATGTAGGCTGAAGCAAGAACATACATGGAAACTTGGGAGTTTCAGCTTTTTTCCACAGCAAACACTGACTAGTCCAAGCAGGGAATAGTACGATCCAGGCAGTTTTGCAGGAAGACAAAGCTGGAGGTATAAGGTAGGAGGCATTTGTCGGGGGGGGATTAGTTAGGAAGCTAAAGTAAGAAACAAGGGACACCTACCCAGGGGCATCAGATGTGAAGAAAAGAAGCATTGTGGGAGAAATGCTGGGCAGAACTAGCAGGAGCTGGAGATAAGGGGAGAAGAGAGGAATCAAAGATTACTTCAATAATAGGAGTCTGGGCACCTGGGAGGATGGCCAGTCATTGACAAGAGTGCAGCTTGAGGGGCATGTTGGGGTGCAAATAGGGAGCAAAATAAATGTGATACTGATTTGAAGGTGCTGATAGAACCAACCGCTGAAACTGCTGCAAATACAGTCAAAATTGCCAGGATAGAGCTCAGAAGATGGGTCAAGGCATTTTGAAATCATTAAGAAACGGGAAAAGCCGGGAGGGAATGAGAAGAGACAGGAGAATTGAGGGAAGATTTTCAGGAAGTTTATCGGAAGGTGAGGCAGATGCCTGGACTTAACTTGCTTGCTGAATTTTATGCTTTCCTTCAAAACTTTTTACCTTTCTCCCAAGATAAGAAGGAGTAAAGGAGGATAAGGGGGGGAAATGGTATTATCTCCTTCTGCGAGGAAGCAACTTACTGTGCACAGAAGTTCCCAGAGTGTTTACTCATCCTGGTCCAATTCCTCCGTGGTACGTGGCACAGGGGCCTGGGGTCAGGGCTAGTGGTTCTGTCCAGCCCACTAATGCCACGGTCAGGCACTCTGGCCTTGGGGAAATCTAGGAGATTACTCTGTAGCTAATTAGGAATCGCTCTTGAGGATCAATATGATAGTTTTGATTGCCTGTGACCACAGCCAGAAAATTAGCTCTTCTCTGAGAGTATGGATGGTCTGTGTGGCTGCTTTGCTAATAGAAAGCTACATTTTTCTTGACTAGAGTGTTTTTCAAATCAGCAGCTTCTAGATATGGGGAGCCATCAGCTTGCACCTGTCTTCCCTGAAACACAGTCACAGGCTTGACACTGTCATAGGAGGAAGGAAACTAATTGAACCAACAGATGGGAAACTACAGACACATGGCTTTTCATTTCGTGGCTAAAAACTCCACCCCTGATTTACGATGCCAAAAATGGCATCTTGGCTTCGGTATTTCCCAGTGCCTGGGTCTTATTTTCATTGCATTGTTTATTTCTGTGCATGTGCATGAGTGCTTATTTTTGAAATCTCAGACACGTTTTACAGGAAGAGTATTGGTATTTCAGAAGTCATTGATGTTTTGGGTTATTGTATACTAGGGATGTGGGTCATTGCTGAACAACCTGACATAAACATCATCAAGCTTGCAAACCTGTTTTCAAGTGTGATGTTCTAAAGTAATATTTATAGCAAAATTATGACCTCAAGGCATCTAAATGTGATCCATTTTTAAATCTCATTTTTTCCCTCTGAATCCTTCAATCTAATTAGGCTCACATCAGTATATTATTACGGAGAGTAATCATTCCTTTCTTCTAATAACATTCATGGATAATTTTATTTCTCATTTCCAGCCTCCTACTCCTGTGGTGTAATTAGTGTCGTTGGCACCTCGTGATGCTCAGAATGAGTTGCAGCTGCTAATTGCTAATTGAAAAATTAGAAACTCAGTTAGAAAAAGGATCTAATTAAAATGAAATTAGATAAAATCCCTTCAAACCAGCTCTCCCCTCTCTCACTTTTCTTTGTTTTTCTTTTCCCCTTCTGCCTTCTTTTTTTTTTTTCCTGCAGAACGATTAGCACTTGCAAAATATGTGTAATTGCTGAAAGCAAAATACCTTTCCCTAGTGGGCTATACAATGGCCTTTAAGAGGGAATTAGGGAGAGGTTTATAAAAATTGAATTAAACTTCGGAACGTGTGCTTTCTTTCTACTCCTGATCTATCCAAAAGTATGAATTTGACCTTATCAATAAGATCTCCAGGCTGTCTAGGAAGGACAAATGTATGGTCAGCCCTGTGTGTTTTTTTCTGTGTGTTTGGAAGAGTTGTTGCCAGCCTCATGATTGTGAGGGGTAGGGATCCACTCGCTTTCTTGCTGCAAATCCATTTCCATCCTCTTATCTATTGCATCATCTCACCTGACAATTATCTAGTAAATGCTCACCCTCTAGGAGATTCAAGTATAAACCAAGGCTGCTTCTGCCTCCAACGTACTTACAACCTATTGAGAAGTCTAGACAGATAAGCATAAGAACAGACTAAGAGAATATATAATCAAAAGCAAAATAGCATTTCAGATATGTGTGATATTTAGGTCAAGTCTTCAAATGTTTTTGAGCCCCTCCTTAATGTATGCCAAGCACTGTACTACAGCCTGGCCATAAAAAATACACACTACAGGCCGGGTGCAGTGGCTCACGCCTGTAATCCCACTGCTTTGGGAGGCTTAGGTGGGCAGATCACCTGAGGTCAGGAGTTCGAGACCAGCCTGGCCAACATGGCAAAACCCTGTCTCTACTGAAAAAAAAAAAAAAAAAAGCCACAAAAATTAGCCAGGTGTGGTAGCAGGTGCCTGTAATCCCAGCTACTCAGGAGGCTGAGGTAGGGAAAATTGCTTGAACCTGGGAGGCGGAGGTTGTAGTGAGCTGAGATCACACCACTGCACTCCAGCCTGGGCAACAGAGGGAGACTCCATCTCAAAAAACAAAACAAAACCAAAAAATCACAACAACAAAAACATACTACATTGCTCCTACTCTCGAAGAGTTTATATCTGGATAGATGTGAATAAGTGATTTATAACATTGTATGATGAAGGCAATGATAACAAATGCAGAAGCTGCCAAATTAACGCAGAAATATGGGTAATGAGTTTTGGTAGGCCAGAGGGAGAGGACTTCAGGGGATGCTTTATGTAGAGGAGGTGACACCACTTACAAGAAGTTCAGGATGAGTAGGAGTTCACCAGTCGACACGCATTTTAGACGAAGAAACCAGTTCCAAAAATCAGACACAAAAAGCAGCATAGTAACTTTTGGAACTGTAAGTGATTTGGCATTTCTGATGCCTAAATTGGAAGGTGTGTGGCAGGAGATGAGCCTGGGGAAGTGAATGGAGGCTGGATTACAAAGAATCTTGTGTGTTTTTGAAGTTTAAAAGGGCGAGAGGTGGGTGAGACTCTTCGAGGGAAAGTTTCTTAGACAATATGGAATTTAGAGGATAGTAGGAGGGGATTTTGTGGGGTGAGAGAAATATTCTAGATAAAGCAACAAAAAAGTACCACATTGAGTGGCCCAGCTTGACTACAACAGAGGGAGGAATTTAGTAATACATAGAGAAACATAAAATGAGTTCAGATTATGATTAAAATCAGGCAAGGACATTTATTTTAAAAAACGATATAAATAGTCACTTTCATTGCACGCCTTTTTTTGTAGCTATAAATGGATGCTTTTTAAGATGTGGAAACTGAGGCTCAGGAAGCTTCAATAATTTATTCAAGGTCACAGAGCTAATTTGTGATTTAGAGGGATTTCAACACAAGTCTGTCTGGCTCCCAAAGCTCTTCCCTCCACACTCCACCAACATGCTGCCTCAGGCCCCCAACTCATTTTCGTGTTCATTGCCCCATCATCTGCTCTCTGCACATTATAAAGGAGGCAACTTATGCTCCGCACAGTTGGCAAATGCACTCTTCCTTGGTCCATGGCAGACAGAGGAAATAGAGCCTGCGTTCTTTTGGCTTGCCAGTTCTTCTCGGTTCAGCAATAGAGGCAGCCACTACCAATTGATCTGTGAACTGGCAGTTAGGGGAAGCCATTCTATTTGTTAAGAATTCTCAGTCAACCAAAAGCACAGAGATGAATGAGAAAAAGTGGCAGACTAATGGGCTAAGGGAGTACTTCCCTGCGTGTGCTGTGAAAGGACAGAGCCGGAAACACTAATACCAGAAATTCATTCACCAATAATCTAATGTGTCTGGAAAGTGCCGGTGATTGATTTTCTGCTTTAGGAGTGACTACCTAAACAACTCTGAAAACATATGTATTAATGTTGTTTCTCATGACTTATACCGATCCAAAAAGATAATGGAATGGCAATTTTAAATATTCTTTGCCTTCAAGAAGTTCTTCTTTATTGCTAACCTACATTTTTCATGCTGCAATTCAGTTGACTTTCCTCTAGCTTATTACCACAAAACCCGATGCTTTAAACAAACCTACATCTTCCAGAATAATTAAACTGCTCCCTTTTTCTCATGACTCAACATTCTACATAGAGCTAAGGTGAACTGGTGAGATGGTAAAATATGTGAACGTTGAATCAAACTACCTGGATTCAAACCCTAACTCTTCCATGTAATTATGCAAGTCCGTAAACCTCTTAATGATAACGATGATGATGATGAAAATGATAGCATTTATAGGATTTGGGTATATTAAATGAAGTAGTAAGTCGGGTGCTCAGCACACATTTAACATGAACTGTGTTCAGTAAATGTTAGCTATTATTACTGTTATTGGGAAAAAAGAGTCAGAAGAAAACTAAGGTGGAGAGATAGGGAGGAAAGAGATAGCCAGCCCTATTTATAGGCTGTGCCTGGCGGAGATGAAACCCTCTATGTTTATGGCTTGGGCATCAAGCAGACACCTGAATGGCACCAATTCTTCACCTGATTTGCCGCATGCCAGTTTCAGCCCTCTGAGCTACATGAGGCCTATGCTATTTTGATGAAGTGAGATGTCCTAAAGCATACTGAGATAGGAAAGGACACACTGGCACTCTCTTGTCTGCTACTTCTGGAACAAGACTGAACAGTAAGGAAAAAGGATTGGGAACTGCTCAAGAGAATCAGCTTAAATTCAGTTTTCGGAATCAGTGGCAGCTCTTCGGTGGCAGGGGCTTGTCCTCTCAAGCTTCTCCATTCTGGTGGATCTCCTGGTTCTCCTTTACCCTGGGCCTCTCCTGTGAAGTTCTCTGGAAGCTTTTTCCTCCTCCTCGAGCCTGATAACTGGTTAATATGTAAGTAAAAACTATGGGAAATTTAAGTGAAATTACTGCCTACTGGGAAGGAAAGTTAAGGGCAAATTTTCTACTTATGCCAATTTACTCTGAGAGGCTTATTTTAAAAACAGGCCCCTAAGGCTAGTCAAGGGGAGCATTTGTGGATTACAAGTAATAACACCCTTGAAATTCAGTAGCCATCAGCCCAGGTCTCAGGAAATAGATTGGGTAACTTGCCCCTTTGTTAAGCCATTGCCCTGTTCAGCACATATTTCTCTTTTCCTCTTACACAAAGCACCACTGCACATCAACAAAAAATATTTCAGCATAATATACCAGTGGAGAAGCATTTCTCCCACTTTGCCCTAAACTCTCTATCCACTTAAATATATATCAGGAAAACTCTCTAGTTGCTCAGGCTCTATACTCTAAAGGAGAAAATGAGTAATTGCCCTTGAAGAAAGACAGTATATGAGGCACATCCATATTCAAGGCTTGATCCTGTTGGACAGGTCAGTTCTTCTGGGTTTCAACTCACTTCCAACCCAACATATCCTATGAACTGCAGCCAAGTTAGCAAAGCTATTATTATTCTGTGTCATAGTGAAGGGATTTTCAAAGAAAGGTGACTTTGAAGGATTCAAGGTGAAAGTCACTATCAGTTGGCAGAGCTGGTTGTTTGCAGAGAATGAATTCACTAGGGGATATAAGAAGGACTGGGGGCTTTAAGTCCTTGATATGGCTAAGCTTCCCATCTCAGAGAAACAGGTCGTCCTGCTAATTATCTGTCATGTCACCCTGGCTCTCCATAGAGACAGATAATTTTCTTCACTGAGTTTTCAAATCCATTTATAGTTGTGGAAAACTCTTCCCACCCTGTCTTTCAGAGAGTCTAGGTGGAAACACGAGTAAAGGTGGTGACCACTGAAACATTTTTCTTCAAGGACTTTTGAGTTTGTTAATATCGTTGCAGGAAGGCAAATGCTCTCAGTCCCAACAGCACCTTATAGTGAATAGATGCTGTGTTATGGTTTCTAATCTCCTGGGCAGGGGGCCAGGGATGGCAGGGATGAAAATAGTGTTAAGGGAAAACTTACATAAGGGGAATAATAGACATTTGGAAATATGTTATCCATAGGACTTGGACAGTCTGGCCTAAAGGGTTATGGTACCAACATCAAATATTCTACTAAAGCCAGATTTTGTCATGTGCAAACATTTTGAATCATAATGCATAGTGTAGAAGTTGTCACGGAGGAATCATAGTAAAAGGAAATACAGAGGAATGTCACCACGAGAGGCCTGGCTTCTAAAAGGCTTAATAAGACTGCTGATTCATTAAGGTTTGGAGATCATCCCTCAGCTTTACAGGTTCAGAGACTCAATTTTATCTGTATCCTAGAGTTCACCAGGGAGACTGATACTCACCATCGATAATAACATCAAAGTGTTCAATACAGCTGCACCTATTACATGTTCTTTATATTAGAGGATGGCAGCCTCCAGTGTTTGGAAGAGAGTGAGCCCTTGGGGAAATGAACTATGTATAATTTATCTTTGAAGCTTCAGTGTCTAGCCCATTCCCTGGTCCCTAAAACATTTTACTGGATGGTAAATGACTGCTAAATTTACTTGAATGGTTAGCTGGCTGGCTGGGCTGGGTAGATGAGTGAGTAGACAGGTGGAGCGTACATGGGTGGAAAGATAAGAAGCAGGCAGAAGAGAAAAGAGGAAGGGAAAAGAACACAGTGACAGTACTAGCTGACATTTATTGGACAATACTATGTGCCCAGCACTGTGCTAAATACATGCTTTAATCACTAAGCTCTCACAGCAAACCCAGGAGAATGGTGAGGTTGTATTTTCCCTTGTATAGATGAGGAATCTGAGATTTAGAGGAAAGTAACATGCCCAAGGACACCAGCTAGTAAATGGTAAAGTCAGAAAAAATTTACAAGAGACTAACATTTTTATTAGCACACAATTTTTTAATTTTTTTTTTTTTTTTGTGAGTTGGAGTCTCACTCAGTCACCCAGGCTGGAGTGCAGTGGCGCAATCTCTGCTCACTGAAACCTCCAACGCCCAGGCTTAAACAATTCTCCTGCCTCAGCCTCCTTAGTGGCTGGGAATATGGGCGTGTGCCACCACGCCTGGCTAATTTTTGTATTTTTAGTAGAGAGGGGGTTCCACCATATTGGCCATGCTGGTCTTGAACTCCTGACCTTAGGTGATCTGCCTGCCTTGACCTCCCAAAGTGCTGGAATTACAGGTGTGAGCCACCACACCCAGCCTAGCGCACAATTTCAGCTAGAACTTCCAAGGTGACACTACACTTGCATTTTCTGGCCAACATAATTTCTTCCTCTAGATAAGCTACATGAGAAGCCAACTAGTAATTAGGAGGGTTCTTGTGGAGCTTAGCCTCAGGAGGAAGTGTCTGTGGGTCTTCCAGGTTTAATATTGCCCAGCGCCTCCCTACACAGGGGTCCACCTGCCAGGTGCCTCAAACCCCCATTAACCCTTCAGAGCGCTTTCTCCACTGAGCAGTACTCAGATGGACGGCTCTGTTTCCCTGTGTTCTATATTTTCATTGCTCATCTTTTAAATGGACACTATCCAGGAAATTAGACTCCCTTTCAGACCATTTTAAAGATTTCTACTCTGATATACTTTGTGTGAAATTAATCATTTTCAACAACTGTTCTTGTTTCCCTCATTTTTCAATTCCTGGGGCATGCCTCAGTGTCATCTAAAGTTAGCCCTAGGTAGGTGGCCGGGGTGGGGAAGGCAAGTGACCTACTCAGCTGGATGGGGCCAAGTCTCCTGATCCCTGCCTGGTGCTTTCCCACTGTATTACACTCAGTGGTTGAGTGGATTAATAGCATTCGCAAAATCTTATATCCACCAAATTAAAGTTGATTTTAATGAGATGTGTCATGTTTTTTAAATGCCCCATGAGGCCGGTAGAACACAGGATCTTGCAGCACTTAAAGGCTTTCTGCCTGTCCTCCCTGATCTAGCCCAGCCAGGGACCTGCTCCCAGCCTGTGGGCTACTGGCACTGGTCTGCCCAGTCTGAGTGGGTCTCTGAGTCATGGCTTAAGTATTTTGGAAACGCACTATAGATCATAAAAATGACTCCTCATGTGAAATAAGCAGACACCATATGGACATGTCTTTTAAACCCACATACCTGCTTCCAGTAAGTTTATTTTGACATCAAAATGTCAAGATTACTGGGTGTTCTGGACACCTGTCAACCCCACAGTTAATCATTAAATCTCTCTGCTGTAGCAAGACTTCCACACTTTCTTCTTAACCCTGCAGGACTCTGAAGGCAAATTGATGACACCAGAAGTTCTAGGGAGGCTGAGAATGTCTTGTGAGATATATTTTGTTTCCCAATAAGGGAGCTAGATGAAAATATGACCACCACGGGGGATAACCTGATGGGTCAGGTTACTTTCTGCAAACAACAAGGAGCTGTTTGCAGGGACTTTTCCCCCCGTGCCCTTTTCATCCTTACACACGCCTGCGTGTGCACACGTGCAAACACACACACACACACCCCTTTCTCTCTCTCCAGTGGAAAGCCTGAGAACTAATCAAAGCTGGCCTTACGAAGCTGAATAGGCCTTGCTTTTATTTTTTTACCTATGTATTTTTTCTATTTCTGGTAAATGTTGTATCCTATAAATTCTCCAAGTACTTCATTATCTGCTTGTTTTCTGTTTGACTTATTTGCCCCCTTTCCTGGCTAGCAATTTAACTGGTACAGCTCAAAATTACTTTTAATGGTTTTTTTTTTTTTTTTTTTGAACTCATTTGAAAACACCTCCCTTCCCCAATCTTTTCATGCTAGACTTGGCTTTCTCCTAAACTAATCTCTGTGGTAGAAAATTAAGGTCAGTATATATTAAATATACCACTAATCAGAGTTTATAATGAGAATCCTTCCACTTATTTTGTTTTAAATTAAGTGGAATGATAAATAGAAGGGACTCAGAGCATTGAAAATCATGGTCTAAATTCTTGCATTCAATAACAGGAAGGGAGTCAATGGCACAGAGATGGTGCACTTCAGACATTTCTATGTAAGCCCAGGCTGAGGTACATTGCCTATAGCAAGTAAACACCCTCAACCTGTCTACTGGTTCTGAACAGGCCTGCTCCTAATGGTTACAGAACCCCAAGGCAAAAGTACCAAATGGAGGCTCATATTCCATATGTCTACCTATTTAAACATTTTAAATCAAACCAACTAACTGTTAAATAAGTTATGTTCTAAATGTCTACATTGACATTTATAACAGCCTTACTCCCCAGTGTGCATGCAGAACTCTTAGACTCCTCAGAATTCTGTTGCTGAACGTGGTAGCATGGGGACATGGGGACACCTGGTCCCTGACCTATGACCCTTCTTTTTCTTCCCACTGCTGTCTGTGAGTTGCATCACAAGGGCCTCAGTGAGCATGCATGTGAAGGCCACAGTCTGTATAATCAAGCTGTGTCCAATCTTCATCACTAAACCTCTTTCTTCCCCTCAATCTGAGGCATGGGAAAACAGAAAGACCTGGGAGAAAACCTACCTAGCTGCTGGCAGTGAACTCCAAGCTGATTGGGCAGGGGATTGTGGGGTCTAGGTACTCTGAGTGTGGTCTAGATGGATGAGGTGGGAGGGAAACCACAGTCACTGGGTAGGCATGTCCTTTCTGCCCATGGACTTTTCATTCCATGGAGTGGAGAGCAGTTGGAAGAGTAGGACAGAGAGGAGCCTGCTAAACTGTGGGGCTCAGAGTAGACCCCTCTGGTGGAGTCAAATGGTAGCACTAGTGTTAGAAACTGAGTTTTGGCCAGAGAAGTTAACATGAGAAGAATCAGAGCTGAAATCAAATTATTACTTTAAGGATATTTCCATCTTATTTTTATTAAGTAGTTTCCATTATTATAAGCAATAACCATTTTTATTAAATTAATAAGCATTATACACTCTGAAGAATTCCCATAAATCATTCAGACTTCTGCTGTTTTAACTAGATGAAATAATCTGTCAACTCTGTAGCGTCCACCTCTCTCTTGTTCAACCCACATTATTAACAACATATTTATGCATGCACACACCAATATACACTGAATATCTAAGGCAGCATTGTATAGTACACTTTTAGAGCTGGAAGTACCATGAAAAATCCTTGTTATCCACCCATCTCCCTTTGTTTAGGGTAAGAACTGAAGTCAAGAGAAGGGAGATAATTTCCCAGTGTTTTGTTTGCTGACCTTTATTTCATCAGAGCCAGGATATTCATATCTGGGATACTCAGAGCTGTGGCCATGAAAATTGGAATACTGGGGCCACTGACAGGATCAATTCTGGGGAAAGAAAAGTAGTAAAGTGTCCCTTGACGACTGGGGGGATCCACTAAGAAACCAACTTTGTCCCCCTCTGTATTAGAAAACTTCTCTCTACTCTTGGGGCAGGTTAACTAATTAGAAGGAATTGACATGTTTTTACTCACCTTTAGAAGCAAGAGATAGGTTAGAATGTTTCTAAGAACTGAACCATTTTTTACCCTAAAAGGAGGGCAAATATATATGTTTTAAATCAGGATTATAGAGATAAAATTTACATACAATAAAACTCACCAACTTCAAGAATACAAGTTGATGAGGTTTGAGAAATGTTTGTAATCAAAACTACCA